>NC_000001.11:52432622-52584138 GCF_000001405.40 Homo sapiens
TTTAAAGGCTGATGAGAGACAGGAACAGTGGCTCAAGACTGTAATCCTAGCACTTTCAAAGGCTGAGGCAGGCAGATCACTTGAGCTCAGGAGTTTGAGACCTGCCTGGGCAACATGTCGAAATCCCATCTTTACAAGAAATACAAAAATTAGCCAAGTGTGGTGGTGCATGCCTGGAGTCCCAGCTACTCTGGAGGCTGACATGGGAGAATCACCCGAGCCTGGGAGGTCAAGACTGCAGTGAGCCATGATTGTGCCACTGCACTCCAGCCTGGGCAACAGAGCAAGACGCTGTCTCAAAAATGAATGAATAAATAGATAAGTAAAAATTAAAAGGCTGTTGAGACTGATTAGGAGACTGCTAAAAGGCTGTTGAGACTGATTAGGAGATGATAGTAGCCTAGGCTAAGGAAACACAAACAGGGATAGAGGGAAGCAAATGGCTGTGAGATACTTTTTTTTTTTTGAGACAGTCTCGCTGTGTTGCCCACGCTGGAGTGCGGTGGTGCAATCTCGGCACATTGCAATCTCCGCCTCCTGGGTTCGAGTGATTCTCCTGCCTCAGTCTCCCAACTAGCTGGGATGACAGGTTCCCTGCCACCACATCCAGCTAATTTTTTGTAGTTTTAGCAGAGATGGGGTTTTACCATGTTGGTCAGGCTGGTCTCAAACTCCCGACCTCAGGTGATCCACCCACCTCAGCCTCCTAAAGTGCTGGGATTACAGGAGTGAGGCAAACACCTAGCTTTTTTTAAGGCAGAAACAACAGGACTTAGTGACTGAACATAGAGGTTGAAGGAGAGGGAAAAGTTTTGGAAACTAGATAGAAAATGGGATCATTCAACGAGATATAAAACACAGGAGGAAGAGGCAAGTCCTGGGGGTTGAAAGGAAAGATTAACTATATTTTAGGCATGTTGACGTGCTTTGTTAGACATCAGAATAGCAATGTCCATTAGACAGACTCTTTCCGAAAGCACGGGTGAGAGAAAAGTGAGGACTAGTAGCATAAAATGAAAATTAGGGCAGCATAGAAAAGTGGTTAGAGCATAAGTTTTGCTGACAGAGAGCCTGAGGGTTCGCGTTCTGATTCCAAGTGTCTATTGACCTCAGGCAAGAAACTGAAACCTCGGTTTCTTTACCTATAAAATATAATCAGAATTTGCCTCAGGTTTTTGAGAAGATTAACTGAACAATGCATGTGGAACATATAACCACCAAGTTCAAGATAGCAGATACATTTCTGTAGCAAGGGAAGGATGGTAGGAAGCTTTTAAGATAGGAATGGGATCAAAGAAGAATGTACAGGGTGTTCAACTGAGGGTGATTTTTTAATAAAGCTAAAATAACAATGTTAAAAACTGTTAAAGCCTGGTAATGATACATAGAGATTTATTTTCTATACTTTTCTGTACTTTTGAAATATTTTATAATCACAAAGAATGAATGCATGTACAGCACATAGTTTACACTCAACAAATGTTAACTACATTAAATGTGATTATTGTTGTTTATGAAAGTATCAAGCACATAATAGGTATTCAAGTGTTTGAGGTGAGGGTGGAAAATTTCCTAAATGTTTTCCAAAGATTCTCCCTAATACTCTTCAAATACTTGAATGTTTTTTCTAAAACACAAATCACATTAGATTTAGCATGTTAAACGGTTAATGGATTTGATGCTAGAAAGACTTCGGTTTGATTTTTATACTCTCTTATTCTCAGTTTCCCAATTTGTAAAATTTGATGATACTAATACCTACCACTTCACATGGCCACTCCAAGGATTAAATTTGCTAAGTGTAAAGCACTGAATATTATGTCAGATTTAGAGTGTTATTTAGAGTCATTATTAATTAAGAAGTACAAGGTGAATATAGATTTACACAAAGGTTAAGAGCAACTCAACAAACAATATTAAACTTATGAGTCTGGGCTGGGCGCAATGGCTCACACCTGTAATCCCAGCACTGTGGGGAGCCAAGGCAGGTGGATCACCTGAGGTCAGGAGTTCAAGACTAGCCCGACCAATATGGTGAAACCCAGTCTATACTAAAAATACAAAAATTAGCTGGGCGTGATAGTATTGCCTGCAGTTCAGCTACTCAGGAGATGGAGACAGAATTGCATGATCCCAGGGGTGTGGATTGTAGGGTTGCAGTGAGCCGAGAACACGCCACTGCACTCCAGCCTAGGCAATGGAGTGAGACTCCATCTTAAAAAAAAAGAAAAGATAGTAAAATAAACTTATGAGTCTGAATTCTCATTCAATACTGTTTTTTTACAGGGTGTATTTCACTAGGTATCCACAGGTCAAGCTATGAGAAGACAGAAGTTTCATGCAAGCAAAATGCCATGTATATATTGCCCTAACAACACTAAATGCCTAAAACATCTCAATTTTTTGGTCTATTTTTATTAATGGTACTGATATTTTTCCACTAAGCAAAGTCTGAAACCTCAAAGTCATTACCTTATTTTTAATCCATCTTATTAGGTAGTTATTGTACAATTGAAGAGTAGGCTCATATAAATTAAGTAGCTTCTCTGTAGACAGAAACCCAGATCTACATTATTCCAAAAGGAATGCTCATTCCACCTTATGTGCCTAGCAAGGACATATATACAAAGCACTGTGTAATCTGGAAGATTGTATTAGCCAGTCTGAGAGAAAACACTATCACCCATTAAAGATACTGCTATCATCAGTCAAGACTAACACATTCACAGGCAGAGTACTTACACATTCTGATGACTGTCTAGTCCTTATGGACTGATCACCCTGTTGCTGAGCTGAACCAGCCACCTGTTGAGCATTTACAAGGTTGCGGACCAGCTGGGCTGCTAAGAGAAGGCATCACAAAGAAAATCAACAGATAAGGAAAGTAGCAGAGAAATGACAATAAATAAACTCCCTTCTTATGTAAAAGAATCTCAAATATCTCTGCAATTTTATAAACTTGGACTTTTAAACCTTAAGTATATTAACGAAGGACTTGCAGCAACTGAGCTACTTAATTTTAAAAGCTATTTGTCAAACTAGCAGATCAAGAAAAAAAATAACACTGATCCTAGAAGCAAGAACAAATGTTATTCTGCTTTTCTAAAGGAGACAACATATTTATTTGAGAAATACTTTCTGGTTGGGTGCAGTGGCTCATATCTGTAATCCTAGTATTCTGGGAGGCTGAGGTGGGAGGATCACTTGAGTCCAGAAGGTCAAAGCTGCACTGAGCTGTGATCATACCACGCACTGCAGCCTGGGCAACAAGAGTCTGTCTCTCTCTATGTCTCTCTCTCTCTCTCTCTCTCACACACACACAAACCTTTCTGCAGTAAGAATCTGAGTAACTGGAAATCACTACTTCTAAAATGTTCTCTTATTTTTTTTTAATAAACTCTTACTTGGGTTACTATTTAACTCTCAAATTCCTTGTGAAATATAACATGAACAGGTATCCTTCTCTCATAACAGCAGTGGGAAGAAATATAATTCTCCAATATGTTTCTAGGAAAAAAGTCTCTTGTAAAGAATGTTAGTGAGAGAAACAGATGAAGAATCTGACTCAAATCCAAAGAATAGGCTGGGCACGGTGGCTCACGCCTGTAATCCCAGCACTTTGGGAGGCCAAGGTGGGTGGATCACCTGAGGTCAGGAATTTGAGACCAGCCTGGCCAACACAGTGAAACCATGTCTCTACTAAAAGTCTAAAAATTAGCTGGGCGTGGTGGCATGCGCCTGTAATCCCAGCTACTCAGGAGGCTGAGGCAGGAGAATCGCTTGAACCCGGGAGGCAGAGGTTGCAGTGAGCCGAGATCGCGCCACTGTACTCCAGCCTGGGTAACAAGAGCGAGACTCCATCTCAAAAAAATAAAAATAAAAATAAAAATCTAAAGAATACTTACAGGGAGATAATTGAATACAACAGACTGTGGAAACCTTGATAATAAACTTATCCAAGTACTATTAAAAGTAAAAGCCTCATTGTCTAAATTTTATCTCTTTAAGAAATTGTAAGGTCCAAAATCATACAATTAGGTTTGCAACAGAGAGGAATTAGGGTCATTTAGCATGCAAGCAACATAAATGACTTCGTTTCTACCAGAAACTATGTTTGGCCTTTTCTATTTACCTGCCACACTGCTATTCCTCTGACGGGCCAGCTTGACCTCTGGGCACTCCCTTCGTACATGTCCAGCATCTCCACATATAAAACATCTGAGGTCTCTCGGGTCTCTAAAGTCTCGAGTATCGTGGAGGTCTCGGGGGTCAAGAACATCTCGGGAATCTTTCTCTTCTTCATTCCCTTCCTTCTCTTCTTCACTGTCTTTCTTCTTTAGTCTAAACAGTAAACTGCTGATACCAATAATGTGGGGCTAGGGACTTGTAAATTAAGTGAGTCACAGAACAAACTATGCAGGACTCTCACAATAACAAAAGGACTAACATGCCCATCATTTCATGCGTCTTTTTGAAGGCAAGGGAACAAACATTTATGGCACACCTGCTCATTTGGCAGGAACTCGGTTTTCCAGTAGTTTTGTAAAACAATATTATATTAAATTTTTTAAAATACCAAATCTTAAACCTTTAACAATCCTTAGAGGTTGATATTTATTATCTCCAGTTTTAAAAAGAAATTGAGGCTTAGAGAAGATAAGTGTCTTGACTAAATTTAATAGTAAATAGCAGTGATGGAAACTGGAAGTTCGTTCTGTCTCAAAAGTTCCAAGTTTTTATTTTAGGCCAGACTTGATGACAAAAGAAAGAGATCTTCCTGACCTACTACAGTATACAGAACCTGGGAGACTATAATTCGTAGATATATTTTGAGGGAGTATAGAAGATGTACATTCCCCAAGATCTATAAATATAGCTCACAGCATGTTATCTCAAGAATTCCATTAATTGTATTTTAATTATCAGTTTGCATGACTGTGAGATCCTCAGCAAGAACCCAACGTCTTGGTCACTTTTATTTCTCCTAGAACAATTCCCAACACATAGACGGTGTCAATAAACAGTTCTTCATTTAAAAAAAACACAAAACTGGCTGGCATGGTGTCTCACGCCTGTAATCCCAGCACTTTGGGAGGCCAAGGCAGGCAGATCACGAGGTCAGGCGTTCGAGACCAGCCTGGCCAATGTTGGTGAAACTCCATCTCTACTAAAGATACAAAAAATTAGCTGGGCATTGTGGTGTGCGCCTGTAATCCCAGCTACTTGGGAGGCTGAGGCAGGAGAATCACTTGAAACTGGGAGGCGGAGGATGCAGTGAGCCGAGATCACACCATTGCACTCCAGCCTGGGCGACAGGGCGAGATGCCGTCTCAAAAAAAACAAAAATAAAAACAAAAACAAAAACAAAAAAAAACTGAGTGAATTAATGAATAAATGAACAAATGAATGTTAGAAGATACTATTATACCACATGCAAATCTTACCCTATTACAAAATTCCACTCAAATGAACATTTACCTTAGGTATAATTAAATACCCTAAACTTTCTCAGTTAAACATTTCTGAACATAATTATAGCTACAAATTGGCCTCTCATTTATTTTCCTCAAAATGTTGATATATATTCATTTGCCAACCTTTTCCTTTTAGGGCAGTCTTTCATGTAGTGGCCTATTTTTCCACACACACGGCAACATCTATCATTGGGAGCCAGTTCTCCATCTGTTAATACTCTGGAATCAAAGAAGTACTCCTAGGGAGAAAATGCAATTTTACTAGGAGGAATCACTATAAAACTTTTGAATCCAAATGGAAAGAAGACCAAGATGCAAACATGGTTTATTTTTACAAAGAAAATAACAGCAACAAATATTTCACTGTAAGAAAACCCAAGATATGAAAATAAGATTCACAATCATCATCATCACAGTTGCTAATAGTACTAACCAAGTTACATCCATATGACATTACACAAAGATGCTACAGATGAATAAGAAAAATCTCAATAAAGTAGATACTATTTTCATCCTCACTTTACAGATGGGGAAACTGATTCAGGAGTTCAGGTCATTTGCCCATAGAAAAAACAGGTTAAGTCTCACATAAAAGATGTAGAGCTAAGTCTGTCTCACAACAAAACTCATGCTTTCTGCTATATCGGGCTACTTCTGGAAAGGAATTATTCTCTGTACAAAATTGCCTGTAGGCTAGGTGCAGTGACTCATGCCTGTAATCCCAACACTTTGGGAGGCTGAGGCAGGGGGATCACCTGAGGTCAGGAGTTCGAGACCAGCCTGGCCAACATGGCAAAACCCCGTCTCTACTAAAAACACAAAAATTAGCTGAGCATGGTGGCGTGTGCCTGTAGTCCCAGCTATTCAGGAGGAAGAGACAGGAGAGTTGCTTGAATCCAGGAAGTGGAGATTGCAGTAAGCAAAGATCGTGCCACTGCACTCCAGCCTGGGTGACACAGCAAGACTCCATCTAAAAAAAAAAAAAAAAAAAAAAAGTCTGTAGTCCCAGCTACTCAGGAGGCTGAGATGGGAGGACCACTCAAGGCCAGGAGTTTGAGGCTGTAGTGCATAATGACTGTGCCTATGAATAGCCACTGCACTCCAGCCTGGACGAAGTGGCGAAACTCTGTCTCTAAAAACTAAAAATAAATAAATTAACAACAACAAAAAAAGCAATTATCTGGTTTATGTGAAATATGATTGGATTTAATACAGCTTTTTAAGAACATGTAACATGTATTATGTAAAGAGGAACAGACCTAAAGAAAAGGTAGGGAACTAAAAAGAAGTAAATAATTTTCCAAAGTCTTAGAACCAGACTTATTTCTGCTTTATCTTTGCACCTTGCTTATCCTTCTAAACTTTAGCTTAGTTTTGCACTGTCACGAAGACTAGTTGGTCCTAACAGTGTCCATCCTTCTGGAAGTCAAGAGAACATGTCCACTTAGGTGTTGTCACATTTACCTAAACTCAAGGATAAAAGTATAAGAGACACGCCCAATAAGATGCCTATAGCTTTAAAAAGACAATAACAAGTATTGGTGAGGATGCAGAAAAACTAGAACACATATGTATTGCTGGTGGGAATGTAAAGTAGCACAGCCACTTTAGAAAACAGTTCCTTGAAAAGTTAAACATAAATTTATCAAAATGACACAGCAATTACACTATTAAGTATATACCAAGAGAAATAAAAACATATTCTCACAAAAATTTGCACACAAATATTCACAACAGCATTATTCATAATAGCCAAAAAGTAGAAACAACTCAAATGTCCAACAACTGATGAATGGATAATAAAATGTGGTATATCCATACAATGGAATATTTTTCAGCCATAAAAGGGAATGAAGTATTGATACATGGTACAGCATGAAGGAACCTTGAAAACATCACACTAAAATGAAAGAAGCCAGTTTCAAAATGTTACATATCATATGATTTCACTTATATGAAATGTCCAAAATAGGCAAATCTACAGAGACAAAAAGTGGATTAGTGGTTTGAGAAGAGGGGAAGAGACGGAATGAGAACTGACTGCTAATGAGGACAAGGGTTTATTTTAGAGAAGATGAAAATGTTCTAAAATTAAATTGTGGGGACGGTTGCACAATCCTGTATATATATTAAAAACCACTGAATTGCACAGTGAATTGTATATAATGTGGACTCTATTCCAATGAAGCTGTTTGGTTTGGTTTTATTTGGTTTTTTAGAGACAGCATCTCGCTGTGTTGGCCAGGCTGGTCTTGAACTCCTGGCCTCAAGCGATCTTCCTGCCCTGGCCTTCCAAAGTAATAGATTACAGGCATGAGCCACCATGCCCATCCTGTGTTTTTTTTTTTTTTTTTTTTTTAAAGACAAGAGATACAATTCTTCATTACTACTGATAAATCAATGTAGCTAATTAAAATCATCATCCTAGTTTTTGCCAGGACAACATAAAGGTCTTAATTCACCCAAGATGCTTAAGACAGAAACCTAAGAAGCATCCTGAACTTGTTCTCTCTCACCCATCACTTTTAATTAATGACCAAGTTGTATCCATTCTATTGCTGAATATCTCTTGAATCCACTTTTCTCTATCCTTCCGCCCCAGTTAGGGCGGCCTACACCTGAGGCCAACAAACTTATTCTGTAAAGAGTCAAGTAGTAAATCTTTTAGGTGCTGTGACAAAATTGAAGATGTAATATACGTACTTACATAATGAGAGAAAGCAAATTTCCACAAAAAAATTTTATTGAAGAAATGTTAAATATGCTAATACTAATAATTAGATATAATCTTTTATAAGTTTACCACTAAGAATATAATTATTTTGGAGGGAGATAACAGTTCATTTAATTGGGGTTCAAAGTTAGTGTTCCCTATCATTAAAACTGAGAGCAACTGTTCATCTATAAATGCTGATCTGCAATGACATTTTATGTATTTTAACTGAAAACGCTTTTCACAGATGAAGAGGTTGAAGACTCAAAGTAGACAGAATAATCTAGAGTACATATGTAAGAAGTAATTTTTCATAAAGAAGAGATACCTATAGATGCAGGTAGATTTATAGATCTAGTAGCAGAAAGCTAAAGGACTATTTATTTGATACTACGTACTGTCTCAGAGGAAAAGCATCCACTGGAGTGAGAAGGGCAGAGGTAAAAGGTGGGACAAAGTGCAGGGCATATGGCTTTTTTTTTTTTTTTTTTTGAGACAGAGTGTCGTTCTGTTGCCCAGGCTGGAGTGCAGTGCTGCAATCTCAGCTCAATGCAACCTCCGCCTCCCGGGTTCAAGCGATTCTCCTGCCTCAGCCAAGCTGGGACTACAGGCGTGCACCACCACTCTCGGCTAAATTTTTTTTTTTTTTTTTTTTTTGTATTTTTAGTAGAGATGGGGTTTCACCACGTTGACCAGGCTGGTCTCCAACTCCTGACCTTGTGATCTGCCTGCCTCAGCCTCCCAAAGTGCTGGGATTACAAACATGAGCCACCGCGCCTGGCCGGCATACTGCATTTTGAGTAAAATAAGTAAATTTGAAATAGTTCTAATAGAATAGGAGCTAAAGGTAACTAAAGAAATATGACTGTCACACAGTACTGAAAGTCCAGTTGAGGCTGGTAAACGTTTATGACTGTACTATATACTTAAAATTGTCTAGCTTTTTTACTTTTTTCCATTAGTGTACAGCTACCCAAGGACAGGCACATGGTGGATACCTGAATTCATATAAGGTACAATACAGAAGAGTGCACAGGAAGGACTGTGGCACAAAGCAATTCAAGGTATATGTCAGATGGCCAGGCGAGGTGGCTCACACCTGTAATCCCAGCATTTTGGGAGGCCGAGGCGGGCAATCATTTGAGGTCAGGAGTTTGTGACCAGCCTGGCCAGCGTGGTGAAACCCTGTCTCTACTAAAAATACAAAAATTATCTGGGCATGGTGGCGTGCACCTGTAATCCCAGTTACTCTGGAGGCCAAGGCAGGACGATCACTTGAACCTGGGTGGTGGAGGCTGCAGTGAGTTTTGATGGCACCAGTGCACTCCAGCATGGGTGACAGAGTGAGACTCCACCTCAAAAAAAAAAAAAAAAGCCAAAGTGTATGCTAGAGAGCAGACAAAATGTAAGTTAAATGGGGAAGAAAAATGACAGAAGACAGCTGATGGATAGGGACAAAATGGGTCAATATATAGGAGAACATAATGATGTAGAAAAATAACTGAAAGAACAAGAAAGATGAAAGGACAGGAAATATACTTATCTTTATCTTTCATTAATTTAGGGAAATAAGGCAAATCTATCTTGCATGCTGTTATAATCTCAGTAACTAGGAGTGAAATAGGTATGAAGTATAAGCATGAAAGACTATGTACAAGGACATTTTTGACCATACAGGTTGAGAATCCCTTATCCAAAATGCTTGAGATCAGAAGTGTTTTGGATTTTGGAATACTTGCATTACATTTATACCAGCTGAGCACCCCAAACCAGAAAATCTGAAATCTCAAATGCTCCACATAAGCATTTCATTTGAGGGTCATGTCAGTGCTCAGTAAATTTCAGGCTTCAGATTTGGAGTGCTCAACCTGTGTAAGTTGTTAACACTGACATAATGAAGATAACCTAAATGTCCATCAAAAGAAAAGTTAGATAAACTAGTATATCCAAGTTATGGAATACTACATACTGACTTTTGAAAGAGAATAAAATAAATCAAAAAATGATTAGCAGACTCATGGGCCCCTTCTGCTAGGCCCCAAATGACATTCAAGACCAAAGATTTTGACATCTATATGTAATTATAATATATTGCATTATTAAGAATTACTAAAAATTTGCATGCATAAACTAAAATGGGCCCATTTCCAGTTTACCGAGGACTCTAATTTAGCATTCTACTAAAAAGTCTCGGAAAGGCACAGCGGCTCACGCCTGTAATCCCAGCACTTTGGGAGGCCGAGGCAGGTGGATCACCTAAGGTCCGGAGTTCAAAACCAGCCTGACCAACATGGCGAAACCCCGTCTCTACTAAAAATACAAAATTAGCTGGGCGTAGTGGCACATGCCTGTAATCCCAGCTACTTGGGAGGCTGAGGCAGGAGAATCGCTTGAACCTGGGAGGCAGAGGTTGCAGTGCACCAAGATTGTGCCGTTGCACTCCAGCCTGGGAAACAAGAGTGAGACTCTGTCTCAAAAAAAAAATTAAAAAAAAAAAGGCTGGGCACAGTGGCTCACGCCTGTAATCCCAGCACTTTGGGAGGCTGAGATGGGCGGATCACCTGATTGGGAGTTCAACACCAACCTGACCAGCATGGTGAAACCCCGTCTCTACTAAAAATACAAAAAAATTAGCCAGGTGTGGTGGCGCGTGCCTGTAATCCCAGCTACTTGGGAGGCCGAGGCAGGAGAATCGCTTGAACCTGGGAGGCGGAGGTTGTGGTGAGCCGAGATCGCGCCATTGCACTCCAGCCTGGGCAACAAGAGCAAAAACTCCGTCTCAAAAAAAAAAAGTGTCACTACATGGGGCTGAGCATGGTGGCTGATGCCTGAAATCTCAGCACTTTAGGAGGCCAAGGGAGGAGGATCACTTGAGCCTAGGTGTCCAAGGCTGCAGTGAGCTATGATTGCACGACTGCACTCCAGCCTGGGGACAAGAGCAAGACCCTGTATCAAAAAAACAAAAATAAACAAAAAGGTCTGACAGCATGCAACACTGTGAGGTTCCTACTGAACATATGCATATATAAACACAAATAGTTGGATTCCTCACAATTCTCAGGTAAAATGCTTTATCAGTGTATCATTGTATTTGTTTTGATCTGTTTTTCATTGTTTCTATTTCAATTAAAATATTAGTCAAATTAGGCCAAATGCGGTGGCTCATGCCTGCAATCCCAGCACTTTGGGAGGCCAAGGCAGGTGGATCATGAGGTCAGGAGATTGAGACCATCCTGGTCAACATGGTGAAATCCCCTCTCTACTAAAAATACAAAAATTAGCTGGGCGTGGTGTCGGGCGCCTGTGGTCCCTGCTACTCTCGGCTGAGGCAGGAGGATCGCTTGAATCCAGGAGGCGGAGGTTGCAGTGTGCCAAGATCACGCCACTGCACTCCAGCCTGGTGACAGAGCGAGACTCCGTCTCAAAAAAAGAAAAAAAAATTGTTTGGTTTTCCTTTTTTCAGTAATTTCGTTTTTACATTTTTTGCATTGTTTCAAATTTTACTATTATTTTATTTTTCTCCATTTTAATTATTATTACCCCATAAGAGGCTAGAAAATAAAAGTATCTGAGAACCAGTGCTCCAAGGGAAAAGAAGACTTCTCTCTGCTTTTCTTATTCTACCCCCAAGAAATAAGACACCTGAAACTGGACTGAACAAGTTCAAGGACATTCACTATGCAATGTAAATGCACGTTTGTTGTGATGGTTAATACTGAATGTCAATTTCATTGGACTGAAGCACACAAACTATTAATCCTGGGTGTGTCTGTTGGGTTTTGCCAAAAGAGATTAACATTTGAGTCAGTGGGCTGGGGAAGGCACATCTGCACTTAATCTAGTGTGCATAATTTAATCATCTTCCAGTGAACATAAGGCAAGCAGAAAAATGTGAAAAGGCAAGACAGGACTAGCCTCTCAGCCTACATCTTTCTCCTGTGCTGAATGCTTCCAGCCCTCAAATGTCGGACTCCAAGTTCTTCAATTTTGGGACTTGGACTGGCTCTCCTTGCCCCTCAGCTGCAGACACTCTATTATGGGACCTTGTGATCATGTAAATTAATACTTAATAAACTCATATATGTGTGTATATATATATGTATATACATGTATGTGTATATATATGTATATACATGTATGTGTATATACATGTATATACATGTATATGTGTGTATATATATGTATATACATGTATGTGTGTATATATATGTATATATGTGTATATATATATGTGTGTGTGTGTCTGTGTATATATATAATAGGATTATATATATCCTATTAGCTCTGTCCCTCTAAGAGAACCCTAATACATTTGTTCTCTTTCTTGAGATTTCTTCTAAGTCTCCTGCTCTGAAGCTAAAACCTCCTGCAGTCTCCCTAACCATAAGAAAGCAGGCAAAAACCAGAGTGAGGCCAAGAGGAATGTGTGACACTCTCCCACCCAATTCAGGTAGAAGGAAACTTCTCGGTTCCATGCCATCTAATTCAGCTTACTAAAGCTATACAAAAATTAGAGAAGCCCCAACAAATAATAAAATATTTCTTCGGTTTTGTCTTCTATGTGTATATTTTCATCGAGATTTCTGAAGATAAAAGAGGGACAATGAGCAGCACCTAAAATTCAACAATCCAGAGTCTTGACTGACTATTCTCATTCACTCAACAAATCCTTATTTGGTACATCCAATGCGCCAGACACTATGTATGTACTGGAAATAGGTGAACCTTACAGACATGAATCCTGTCTTCGTGGGGCTTATAGTCTAGTGGAGAAGACAGAATTTAACAAATAGTTTAAACAAATAAAATTTTGAAAATATATATCTCACTATGGACTATGATAAATGCAATAAGAAAAAATATACAAAGCTATGACCATCTCTTTCCCTATATCTAACATCAGTTTGGAAACACAATTAAGTTTCTTGTTCTATTTAAAAAAAGAAAAGATTCACAATTCATATAATGTAAACTTACAGCTTCTCTGCCAATGAGTGGATAAAAAGGGGTACCAAAAAGTTTCCTTCCATTGATAAATGCTTTCATGATGAAATTGGTCACTATTAAAGAAAGAAGAAAACAATAAAGATGCAGACATTAATGTGTCAGAGTTTTAAAATCAGAGAATCTCTATATTTAAAACTTACTTTTTCTGGAAACTCCAGCACCAAGGTTATGATTCAAGTCAAAAGGGTCTACAAAAGAAATATATCAATGATTAAGAATTACATTCACTGTACCATAAAAATATACTTAGAAGTCACCGCTGAAGTCTAATACTTATATGTACTCAGACTATACAAATCAGCAAACTCTTCCTCTAAAATTACACATTAAAGGAGGAAAACTGATAAAAGAGGAAGAATCTTCCAAATCCTAATGTATTTCAGTTTTCCCCTCAATTTCGTTGACCAAATTTTGGTTGCTCCTGAATTAATATCAGCTTAAATGTTACCTTCAATTGCAATGCACTTGGAAGTCCACTGCTTCTCAAAAGTTGTCAACAGCTTTTTCTGCCGAATGCTAATTACATATTCCTTGAAATCAAACTCTTCAGTATAGAAACGAAGCAGTCCCAGCCAAAGCTCCCCTAATGATTCTGTGTTCTTTCCAAGTGAAGGTAAACGCTTTTTCTACATATAAAAAAAAAAAGAAAAGAACAATGTCTATACAGTACTATCCAAAACATGGACAGCAAATTTAAGTAAAATTATTAAATTATACAGATGCTAACATATATCAGTGAGCATTCTAGAACATAAAGACTATTTTAAAATTACCAGTTCTTCTGTTTTATCAAAGAAGAAAGCATTCCATCCATCAACCATTCTCTGTGGAATCTGTTTTCCATCAAAGATCTGCATAAAAAAATTAATTGTATTATTAGATTTCAAGTGATCCAACCCAAAGGTCCAAATACTCTAATACCATTTTAGAATTTACCTATAAGACATACTAAAATACTTCTTCCAAAAAGAACATGTCAGGATGATGGTATAATTTGATGCCAAGAAGTTAATGAATAAAACGTATCTGAAAGACCAAAGCTGGAAAAGGATGTCTTTTAAGAGCATTAAACTCCAAATGATACATTTGATGTTATCTACTTGACCTATCAAAACATATCCAGTCCAAGAATAATGAAGCAAAACTTAAAAAAGAAACAGCAGTCATGATGAAACAGCAGTTTCATCAAAGGATCACAGATATAAAAATACAAAATAGATAATACCCACTGATTGTGCACCCAAAGGAAGGCAACAGAACTGTTTTGGGACCTAGTACCTTTAATCATTTATCTATATCAGATAAGGCTAAAAAGCAATTGGACTATCATTTTGTAAAAATGGAAAATTAGGGCCAGGCACGGTGGTTCACGCCTGTAATCCCAGCACTTTGGGAGGCCGAGAATGGTGGATCATGAGGTCAGGAGTTTGAGACCAGCCTGGCCAACATGGTGAAACCCAGTGTCTACTAAAGATACAAAAAATTAGCTGGGCGTGGTGGCGTGCACCTGTAATCCCATCTACTCGGGAGGCTGAGGCAGGAGAAATGCTTGAACCTGGAAAGCAGAGGTTGCAGTCAGCCGAGATCGTGCCACTGCACTCCAGCCTGGGCGACAGGGCGAGACTCCATCTCACCAAAAAAAAACAAAAAAACAAAAAAACAAAAAAAAAAAAGGAAAATTAGGAAGCTTTCCCTTACATTTTGATAAAGACTATAAACTTTATTATGAATAATAATCCGCTGTCCTAAGGAGAAGAAAAAAGGAGAAAAAAACGCTATTTTTACAAGAAAAGTATCCCGTAAGATGTCTGTGTAACTGACTTCCACAAGTAATTGATACTTTTATTCTAAAGGAGGCTTAAGAGATGCAATAAAGTAGGAAGGTGCAACAGATTCAGTCAGGAGACCTAATTTCTAGCCTCTATCCTGAGGAATAGTGGTTCTGGGCAAGACAATCATCTCCCTAAGTGCTCACTTTTCCCAGTGAAAATGAGGAAAGACTATATAAATTAGTCAGTCAGTAGTTTATAAATGGAGAAAACATACCACACCACCTTCTCTTTACCCTCTACCGTGACTAATGGGTCCCAGAATACAGTTAAACCACAATACCATTTAAATCCACTAGTTAAGGTGGGCCTGGGCCCAATGGCCATTTCCATTTTTGATGTGACAGTGATTTATAAAATTAACTACATGTCTGGCCCCTCCAATTTTATCCTCAGATTTAAGTTCTTTGTGGGTAAGGACTATGGCTTATCTCTGAAACCCAGAACCCTACTAGACCAAAGCCACATAGAGAACACTTAATATATGTTTGTTGAATGACTATATTTAATATGTAAGTATGTTACACAGAAATCAAGCTTCCAGGGACTAGGGCTAATAAGTTGCTTTTTAACATTTACATATTACTTAAACAGATACAGTTTACTAAAAGTCATCTAGCACATATTCCGACATTTCATAAAACAAAAGTGAAAGACTGAGGCCGGGCGCAGTGGCTCATGCCTGTAATCCCAGCACTTTGGGAGGCCGAGGCAGGCGGATCACCTGAGGTCAGGAGTTCAAGACCAGCCTGGCCAACATGGCAAAACCCCGTCTCTAATAAAAATACAAAAAATTGGCTGGGCGTGGTGGTTCGTGCTGGTAGTCCCAGCTACTTGGGAGGCGGAGGCAGGAGAATCGCTTGAACTCAGGAGATTGAGGTTGCAATGAGCTGAGATTGTGCCACTACACTCCAGACTGGGTGACTAAGCGAGATTCTGTCTCAAAAAAAAAAAAAAAAAAAAAAAAAGAGGCAATTGCAGCTATTAATATCTGAAACAAAAGACATAGGATTTCTGACCTCAAGAAAGAAGTGAAGATATTAAGGGGCTGACATGTAATATTTTATCCTTAAAGATTCAGACGCTATTATAGGTATTTCATGTTTTGTAAACACAGATTTATTTGCTAGATATTGAAATAAACTACCTCTTTAGAACCCTGTTTTGAGATAATTCATACTTCTGAGTAACAACAATCCAACTCTTTAGATCATGATTGTTTTTAAGAGATTTCATACTTCTCAGTAATATCCATGATCCAGCCCAACTACGTTGGCTGATAACACAGTGGAGTAGGTCTGTGGGCCTTGTAACGTTAATCATCACTCATTTTGCCTATTCTTTTGAATTCTCATGTTTCACTGTGTTTAATTCTCTCCACTCTGTTTCAGCCCCCAGAAGCACTAATGCTATACACTTTTACACACACACACACACAGACACACACACACACACTCTCTCTCCCTGCTGTCTCTCTGTTCTCTCTCATTCAACACGAATCATCTTCAACTTAGCACTCAGTCCTCCCTCTAAACAAGTCAATCATATTATAAGGATCACCAAATAAGTCAATCATATTTATGTAAAGAATGACCCTAAACATTTCCAAAATTCTTATCTTATTGTGATATTCTAATATGTACTGTTATATTTACATTGCATTTTTCTGTTTAGACAGAGTCTCGCTCTGTCACCCAGGCTGGAGTGCAGTGGCACAATCTCAGCTCACTGCAACCTCCACCTCGCCAGTTCAAGCCATTCTTGTGCCTCAGCCTCCCAAGTAGCTGGGATTACAGGCATATGCCACCATGCCTGGCTAATTTTTGTATTTTTTAGTAGAGATGAGGTTTTGCCATATTGGCCAGGCTGGTCTCAAACTCCTGACCTCAAGTAATCTACCCCCCTCGGCCGCCCAAAGTGCTGGGATTACAGGTGTAAACCACTGCGACTGGCCTAACTTGTAATTTTTTAGTTGTGGTAAGATACACAAAATATAAAATTTACCATCATAAGCATACAGTCCTGCGGCCTAAGTATAGTCATACTGTCACGCTACCATCACCACCATCCATTCACAAAAATCTTATCATCTGGTAAAACTAAAACTCTGTATTTATGAAACTATTACTTCCCATTTCTCCCTCCTTGAGATTCCCTGGCAACCACCACTCTACTTTCTGTCCCTATGAATTTGACTACTCTAGGTACTTCATATAAGTAGAATCAAATAGTATTTGTCTTTCTGTGACTGGATTACTTCACTTAGCATAATGTCCTCAAGATTCATTCATTAAGTTGCAAATTTTAAGCTGATATGGGTTAAAAAAATTTTTCATAAAATCATGTGTGAACACTCCCAAATCTTTTTTGGAATTAATTTTTATGTGAAAATTTGCTTTTACTTATTATGATTTGCTAGGGTAGAGCAAAAATCTTCTGCCTAGGACAGCTCTTTTTGACGTAAAGAACTTAGTACTGCTGACCATCAAAAAAATGCTCTTAGCTGTGCCTTAGTAATACCCAGCCATATAAAGTTAAAGCTTAATTACAAATGGAGGCAGACATCATTAGCTTCTTTAAACATATCCTTACCCTTAAAAGATAATTGATGCCAATGGTCAATACTTAAATGATGCCAGAGCAATGGACAATGAGGTCCCATATGACAACCATTAAAAAAGGCCAGAAACAAAATTCCATGTATCATCAGTCTATATATATCACAAAGTCCCCCGAAATCAAACCTCATTATGATAGGAAACATTCCATGAACTGTCTCTTGTTTGATCAATATTAAGCAGATGTCTGTTAAACAGATAATGAAAGAGTTTTTAAAGTTGAATATGGTAGTCCTACCTACATTTTTCCAATAATAATAGCAATAATGCTGCTAATGAGCATAAATCATAATAGTAAAAATAATAATAAAAGCAAGCACTGTTTATGAATGTCTACTTTAGCACCTACTACATTCAAAAGCATTAAATGTTTCTGTTCCTCATATCAACACTGAAATATTATCATTATTACATTTTTAATGATGATGAAACTCAGACTTATGCAGATTGTTAAGGCCAAAATGTTAGAATTAGGATTCTGACTAGTTATTTCTGGCTCTAAATACCATGCCTTGGTATTTCTATTACTTCATGCTACCTCAGTGACTCCTAATCCATGGGTAAGGAGAGAATACAGACAAACCACCAAGAAAATCAAATTTGTGGTCCATTTTTGTTAATCATAGTATTCCGGCAAAGTGGCAAATGATATTACTGGAGAATTAGTACATATGATCCCTATTTAAAGCCTAAACAACGATTATAATAATACAGAGAGTAGGCTGGGCGCGGTGGCACACGCCTGTAATCCCAGCACTCTGGGAGGCCCAGGTGGGCGGGTCACAAGGTCAGGAGATCGAGACCATCCTGGCTAACACGGTGAAACCCCATCTCTACTAAAAATACAAAAAAATAAGCCTGACATGGTGGTGGGCGCCTTTAGTCCCAGCTACTCGGGAGGCTGAGGCAGGAGAATGGCGTGAACCTGGGATGTGGAGCTTGCAGTGAGCCGAGATTGCGCCACTGCACTCCAGCCTGGGTGACAGAGCGAGACTCTGTCTCAAAAAAAAAAAAAATAAGAATAAGAATAAGAATACAGAGAGTAATGCTGGCCTTGGCAGGCCTAATTAATTTATGGTAAATTTTAAATATCATCCAGTGAACAAATTTGTTAAAAAACAAATCACTCCTAGCCAGGCTAATTAAGAAGAGAAGGTATATAAATTACTAACAACAGAAATGAAAGAGGGGATATCAATACATATCTCATGGACATTAAAAGAATAATAACACTATGAACTACAATTTTGATAACCTAGATGAAATGAACTAATTCCTTAAAAGACACAATATACCAGCCAGGGGCGGTGGCTCACGCCTGTAATCCCAGCACTTTGGGAGGCCAAGGCGGGCGGATCACCTGAGGTCAGGAGTTCAAGACCAGCCTGGCCAACATTGGTGAAACGCTGTCTCTACTAAAAATACAAAAATGAGCCGGGTATGGTGGCGGGCACCTGTAATCCCAGGTACTCCAGAGGCTGAGGAAGGAGAATTGCTTGAACCCAGGAGGCGGAGATTGCAGTGAGCCGAGATCACGCCACTGTACTCCAGCCTGGGCAACAGAGTGAGATTCCATCTCAAAAAAAAAAAAAAGACACAATATGCCAAAACTCACACAAGAAGAAACAGAAAATCTGAATGGGCCTATATCTATTAAATAAACTGAATCAATAATTAATAACCATCCAAAAAAGAAAGCACTAGGCCTAGATGGGTACACTGATGAATTCTACCAAACATTTAAGGAAGAAATTAAACCAATTCTCGAAGAATGAGTTAGGAAGTGTTCCTTCTGCCTCATCTTTCGAAGACAGAAGCAGAAGGAACACTTCCTAACTCATTCTACAAGGCCAGCATTACCCTAATACCAAAACCAGACAAAGACATTGTAAGTAAAGAAAACTACAGACCAATCTCTCATGAACAATGATGCAAAATTCCTCAACAAAATATTAGCAAATCAAATCCAATAATGTACAAAAGAGAGTTATACAAAGCAGGTTCAACATCTCAAACTCAACTGATGTAATTGTGATGTTATAATTGGCCTCCAAACCCATTTCCTGACATACAACTCGTAACATCCTTGGAATCTCCAAAGAGAAGTCTTTTTGTATGCAAGCAAGTTGACTACTGGCTGACAGCCCCTAGGTATCTTTAAAATGGGGGTTGGTCACCAGAAAGACCAAGGCATGATTACAGGGTTGGGACTTTCAGCCCTATACCCCAACCTTTGGGGAGCGGAGAAGGGCTAAAGGTTAAGTTGATCACCAATGGCGAACAGCTTGGCTTAATCAATCTTGCATATGTAATGAAGCCTCCATAAAAACCCAAAGGTCTCGGTCCAAATAGCTTCTTGATAGCTGAACACATGGAGGTTCCTAGATGGTGGTATGCCCTGATAGGGCATGAAAACTCCTCATCCCTTCTCCCATACCTTGTTTTATGTATTTCTTCATTTATATCCTTTGTAATATCCCTTATAATAAACCAGTAAGCCTAAGTAAATGGTTGAGTTCTGTGAGCCATTCTAGCAAATTAATCAAACCCAAAGAGGTCGTCATAGGAACCCAAACTTTAAGCTGGTCAGTCAGAAGTTCTGGAGGGCCTAGACTTGCAACTGGTGTCTAAACTGGGGATAGTCTTGTGGGACTGAGCCGTCAACCAGTGGAATCTGATACTACAGATGGTGCCAGAATTGAATTGGAGGACACCATGGTGTTCAACGCAGAAGTGGTTGCTTGCTTGGTATATGGGGAAAACCCCCCCAACACATTTGGTCACAGAAGTCTTCTGTGATTATTGTTGTTGAGTAAGAGAATAGAAAAAACATTTTGGGGGCTGGGCGTGGGGGCTCAGGCCTGTAATCCCAGCACTTTGGGAGGCTGAGGCAGGTGGATCACCTGACATAAGGAGTTCGAGACTAGCCTGCGTGGTGAAACCCCGTCTCTACTAAAAATACAAAAAAATTAGCCGGGCATGGTGGTGGGCACTTGTAATCCCACCTACTGGGGAGGCTGAGGCAGGAGAATCGCTTGAACCCAGGAGGCGGAGGCTGGAGTAAGCAGAGATTGCAACACTGCACTCCAGCATGGGTGACAAGAGCGAAACTCCGTCTCAAAAAAAAAAAAGAAATAAAAAGCATTTTGGGTTTGAGTGTGTGTTTTCTCCTTAGTAACCCATCACATCAACAGGCTAAAGAAGAAAAGTCACGATCAATAGATGCAGAAAAAGCATTTGACAAAATCCAACACACATTCATGATTAAAAAAAAAAAAAACTCTATAAACTAAGAATGGAGGAAAATTTCCTCAGCTTGTTAAACAAATCTACAAAAATCCTACAGCTAACATCATACTCAAATGGTGAAAAACTCAATGCTTTCCCTTGTAAAATCAGGAATAATACAAGGATGTTCTCTTTCACCACTCCTTTTCAACATCTGGGAAGTCTTAGGTAATGCTGACACTGGAAGTTCTAGCTAATGCAATGAAACAAGAAAAGGAAATAAAAGGTATACAGGGTGAGAAGAAATAAAACTGTTCACATATGACATGATAATCCATGCATAAAATCCAAATTGAAACAATACTCCAAGAATAAGCAATTACAGCAAGTTTACAAGACACAAGATTAATATAAAAAATTCAAACACTTTCCCAGATACATGCAATGAACAAGTGGAATTTGAAATTAGAAATACAATACCATTTACATCAGCACCAAAAAATGAAATACATAGGTGTAAGTCTAACAAAATATGTGCAAGGGCTACATGAGGAAAACTACAAAACTCTGATGAGCAAAATCAAAGAACTAAATAAATGGAGAGATATTCCATTATAATTGACAGGAAGACTCAAAATTGTCAAGATGTCAGTTCTTCCCTACTTGGTCTCCAGATTCAATTCAATCCCAATCAAAATTCTAGCAAGTCATTTTGTGGATATAGACAAACTGATTCTAAAGTTTACATAGAGAGGCAAAAGACTCAGAATAGCTAACACAATATTGAAGGAGAAGAACAAAGCTGCAAGACTGATGCAACCCAACCTCAAGAGTTATTATAACACTACTATAAATAAGAGAGTATGGCATTGGTGAAATAATAAATAAATCAATGCAACAGTGGAGGGCCCAAAAGTATATAAATATAGTACATAAATATAGTCAACTGATCCTTGACAAAGGAGCAAAGACAATACAGTGGAGAAATAATATTCTTTTCAACAAATGGTATTGAAACAAATGAACATCCACACGCAAAACAATGAATCTAGGCATAGACCTTATACCGTTCACAAAAATTAACTCTAAATGGCTCACAGGCCTAAATGTAAAATAAAACTCCTGGAAGAAAACACAAGAGAAAATCTGTATGACCTTGAGTATAGTGATATCTTTTTAGACACAACACCAAAGGCAAGAGCTATGAAAGAAATAATTGACAAGATGGACTTTACTAAAATTAAAATTTTCTGCTCTGCAAAAGACAACGTCAAGGGAATGAAAAAACAAGCCACAGACATGGAGAACATAGTTGCAAAACACACATCTGATAAAGGACTATTATTCAAAATACACAAAGAACTCCTTAAACTCAACAGTAAGAAAATAACCTGTTTAAAAAAATGGACCAAAGAACCTCACCAAAGAAGACATATGAATGGCAAAATAAGCATATGAAAAGATTTCCGCATAATGTCATCAGGGAGATGCAAATTAAAACAACAGTGGCCAGGTGAGGTGGCTCACACTTGTAATCCCAGCACTCACTTTGGGAGGCCAAGGCAGGCAAATTACTTGAGCCCAGAGCTCGAGACCAACCTGGGCAACATGGAGAAACCCAATCTCTATAAAACATACAAAAACTAGCCAGACATGGTGGCTCATGTCTGTAATCCCAGCTACTTGGGAGGCTTACTTAGGAGGATCACTTGAGCTCAGGAAGTGGAGGTTGCAGTGAGTGGAGATTGTGCCACTGTAATCTAGCGTGGACAACAGAGCAAGACCCTCTCTCAAAAATAAATAAATAGATAAATAAAACAAAATATTAGATTGAAGCAAAAGTAATTGCGGTTTTGCCATTAAAAGTAATCTCAACACTTTGAGAGGCCGAGGTGGGCTTGAGCCCAGGAGTTCGAGACCAGCCTGAGCAACATGGCAAAACCCCATCTCTACTAAATATATAAAAAATTAGCTGGGCTTGGTGGTGTGCACCCGTAGTCCCAGCTATTCAGGAGGCTGAGGTGGGAGAATCACCTTAGCCTGGGAAGTTGAGGCTGCAGGGAGCCATGATTGCACAGTCCAGCCCGGGCAGCAACAGGAGTGAGACGCTACCTTTAAAAAAAAAAAAAAAAAAAAAAAGACGGGGGAGAGGAAGGGAGGGGAGGGCAGGGGAGGGGGGGAGAGGGAAGGAGGAAGGGAGGATGGATGGACAGACAGACAGATGATTATACACCTAAAGGAAAGAAAGAAAGACTACTACACACCTAAAAGAATGGCCAAAATCCAGAACATGGACAAGTACTCAAATGCTGGGTGGATGTGGAGCAACAGGAACTCTCACACATTGCTGGTAGAAATGCAAACTGGTACAGCCACTTTGGAAAACAGCTGGCCATTTCTTACAAAACTAAACATACTCGTACATATGATTCAGCAATGTGACTCCTTCGTATTCACCCAAAAGACCTGAAAACTATGTCCATACAAAAACTTGCACACAGATGTCTGTAACAGCTTTATTCTTAATAGCCAAAACTTGGAAGTAAAACAGATATTTTTCCATATGTGAATGAATAAACTGTGGTACATCCCAACAATGGAGTATTACTGAGCACTAAAAAGAAATGATAGGCCAGGCGTGGTGGCTCATGCCTGTAATCCCAGCACTTTGGGAGGCCGGGGCGGGTGGATCACCTGAGGTCAGACATTAGAGACCAGCCTGGCCAACATGGTAAAACCCCACTCTACTAAAAATACAAAAACCAGCAGGGCGTGGTGGTGCACACCTGTAATCCCAGCTACTCAGGAGGCTTAGGCAAGAGAATTGCTTTAATCGCTTGAACCCCGGAGGTGGAGGTTGCAGTGAGCTGAGATCATGCCACTGCACTCCAGCCTGGGCAACAGAGCGAGACTGTGTCTCAAAAAAAAAAAAAAAAAAAAAAAAAAAGATAAAATAGATTTAGAGGTTCAACAAAAAAGTCTGAACATTTAAAAATTAAAAAAAAAAAAGAAAGAAAAAGAAAAAGAAATGAGCTATCAAGCCATGAAAAGACATGGAGGAAATTTAAACACATATCACTGAGTGATGGAAGTCAATCTGAAAAGGCTACATACTATATGATTCCAACAATATGATATTCTGGAAAAGTCAAAACTATGAAGACAACAGCACAAAGATTAGTGGTTGCCAGGGGTTGAGGGGAGGATGACTAGGCAAAGTACAAAAATTTTTAAGGCACTGAAAACTGTATGATACTGTAATGGCATATATTGATGTATCATTGATTATGATAAAATGTGTACATCATTATATATTGTCCAAACCCTTAGAATATACAACATCAAGAATAAATGTTAATTGCAAACTATGGACTTCGGGTGATTATATGTCAATGTAGGTTCATCAGTTGTAAAAAATGTACCACTCTGGTGGGGTTAATAATGGGGGAGGCTATGCATGTGTGGGTACAGGAGGTATGTTGGAAACTCTTTACAGTCCTCTCAATTTTGCTGTGAACTTAAAACTGCTCTGAAAAAATACTTTAAACACACACCCAAACATACATCACCCAACACAGATTCAGCAACTTAAATCTTTGGCTAGGAAAGGATTCCCATCCATTGTTTAAAACAGGGAAGGAAACGCTGGTAAAACCATATATATTCATTAGAACTTCTTAAAACTTACTAAGGCTATCTGACACCTACTATATGGCTTATAATTTTGTGATTTTTCTTTTTTTTCTTTTCTTTTTTTTTTTGAGATGGACTCTCCCTCTCTGTCACCAGGCTGGAGTGCAGTGGTGAGATCTCAGTTCACTGCAACCTCTGCCTCCCGGGTTCAAGCAATTCTCCTGCCTCAGTCTCCCGAGTAGCTGGGATTACAGGCACGCACCACCACGCCCGGCTAATTTTTATATTTTTAGTAGAGACGGGGTTTCACCATGTTGGCCAGGATGGTCTCGATCTCTTGACCTCGTGATCTGCCCGCCTCGGCCTCCCAAAGTGCTGGGATTACAGGCGTGAGCCACCACGCCCAGCCTATTTTGTGATTTTCTTCTTTGCCATAACTATCAAAGATTATGTGAAACCAGAATATGTGACTTTTCCAACCAAGTCTGATGCTTGTCTCCTAAATAAAAATAGTCACCATTCTAAAAAATTTGAATTGGATCCTCCCTAACGCCTACAAATCTACTTTGTGCCAAGAATCAGGCGGAACAGATGGATGATTAATATCTCCTTTGTACCAATTTCAGAGAGTATAAATTGACTACAAAAAGGAACTTTATAAGTCACCAATTCTGAGTGAATGAGTATAATCTGTTTCTTTCAATGTACATTCTTATGTTTAATGTAATTAATATGACTTCAGAAGAGATAAGGAAGAGTTTCCCTGGGTTCATTCTAAACCAAAATTCACAAGGTTGACCAAAGTATACATAAGAATAAATCAATCTTCATTGCCAGGCAACAGGAGGGAAAATATTCTAGAAAGAAGAAACTTATGTACTTGCATCTTGGAGACTATAAAATATATGAGTTCATGGCTGGCTACAAGAACTTCACAATCATCCACAGCACTCTAAGACTGTAAAATTTAAAAACATTACAAAAGATATTCAATGGTTCTATTCATCTAATATTCTTTTGGTAGTCTATATTCTCCCATAATAAATTTTTCAAAAATATTCATTGTTTAATTATAGCATTAATGGAAAGAGAAAACTTAGGACAACCATGATGGAAAAATCCTTCATGATGACATGAACCAAGCAAAATCTCCTGTGTTTAGATCTATTGTTTTCAAAAAAAACTCCTTTATAGTTTTCTTAAACACCTACCTCTTGTAGAACTGGGATAACAGGTGGCTTTCTCTGCTGCAGAAAGTACAGCACCATAAGGATATATGCATATGAAGATAAACTTCCCCTGGAAGCATCCCCAATGTCACATCGCTAAAAAACAACATGATTGAAAACAAAACTTCAGAGTCTTACTCCATGCAGAAGTATATTAAACATTCTGCCACATCATTTTTTTTAACCCACAGAACTGGGTTAAACTGAGTTAAAAACAAACTGCACCGTCTATAATCCCAACACTCTGGGAGGTTGAGGTGAAAGAAAAGCTTCAGCCCAGGAAGTCAAGACCAGCCTGGGTAATGCAGTGAGACCCCATCTTACAAACAAACAAACAAACAAAAAACTACTATACATGACGTGGGGAAACAGGTACTCTCACACACTGCAGGTGAGAGTATAAATTAATACAAACACTATGAAGAATATTTGACAATATCACAATTACAAAAGCACATTTTCTTTGAACCAGCAATCCTATTCTAAGAATGTACCCTGCAAACATGCCAAAACATATGTGAAATGACTAAGAAGGTTTTTTTAATTGCAGCACTATTTTAATAGCAAAAAATCAGAAATAGTTTTAGGTTCATCAATAAAGTGCAGGCGCAGGTTTAAAATAATTAACGACTATTCACATAATGGAATGGTATGCAACCATTAAAAAAAGAACGAAGTCCCCTGATGGTCTCGTGGTTAGGATAAACATCTTTTTTAATAAATAAAAAACAAAGAACAAGGGGCTAACACGGTGAAACCCCATCTCTACTAAAAATAAAAAAGTTAGCCGGGTGTGGTGGCGGGCGCCTGTAGTCCCAGCTACTCGGGAGGCTGAGGCAGGAGAATGGCGTGAACCCAGGAGGCAGAGCTTGCAGTGAGCCGAGATAGCACCACTGCACTCCAGCCTGGGCGACAGAGCGAGACTCCGTCTCAAAAAAAAAAAAGAACAAGGAAGCCAGACATGGTGGCTCATGCCTGTCATCTCAGCACTTCGAAAGGCTGAGGAGGGTGGATTGCTTGAGCCCAAGAGTTCAAGACCAGTCTGGGCAACATGGCGAAACCCCATCTCTACAAGAAATACAAAAAATAGTTGGGCATGGTGGCACACGCCTGTAGTCCTGGCTACTCAAGAGGCTGAGGTAGGAGGATCAATTGAGCCCAGGAGGTCAAGGCTGCAGTGAGCTGTAATCACACCACTTTACTCCAGCCTGGGCAACAGAGTGGAATCCTGCCTCAAAAATAAAAATAAAGGCTGGGGGTGGTGGCTCACGCCTCTAATCACAGCACTTTGGGAGGCCGAGGCGGGCGGAGGAGGTCAGGAGTTCAAGACCAGCCTGGCCAACATGGCAAAACCCCGTCTCTGCCAAAAATACAAAAATTAGCCAGGCGTGGTAGCAGGCACCTGTAATCCCAGCTACTCTGGAGGCTGAGGCAGGGAAAACTGCTTGAATCTAGGAGGTGGAGGTTGCAGTGAGCCGAGATTGTGCCACTGCACGCCAGCCTGGGTGACAGAGAAAGACGCCATCTCAAAAAAACATGAAATTAAAATAAAAATTAAAAAAATATAGGGGAGGGGGGAGAGGAGAGGGAGGAGGAATGAAACCTGAAAGAATCTTCAGAGACTTCTTCCCTTGAGCAAGGATTTAGCTTATATCTATATTTAAAGGGAAAAGGGGTGATTTAATTAACAGAATTCTATGTAGTTATAACAAAACTGTCATGTTAGAGTTACCTTGTTAGGTGAATCTAGAAAAGTAGGCATATCAAGTCTTGTATGTAGTATGTGCCTCTATGCTTTTCTAAGATACACTCTTGTCTAGAAAGACATGTACAGGAATATCTTTAAAAATATGATTTCCAGTCAGGCACAATAATCCCAGCACTTTGGGAGGCCGAGGCTGGAGGATCACTTGAGGTCAGGAGTTTGAGGCCAGCCTGGCCAACATGGTGAAACCCCGTCTCTACTAAAAATACAAAAATTAGCCAGGCATGGTGGTGAATGCCTGTAATCCCAGCTACTTGGGAGGCTGAGGCAGGAGAATCGCTTAAACCCAGGAGGCGGAGGTTGCAGTGAGCTGAGATCCCACCACTGCACTCCAGCCTGGGTGACAGAGTGAGACTCCATCTCAACAACAGGAACAACAACAACAACAACAATAGCCTTCCTATTAGAAAGAGGAAGCTTTATGAAATGAAAATCTGACCAACTTTCTCCCCTACTAAAACTCTTCCACTAACACATTAATAAAATTAATCATTCCACTGAGCAGCTACCACAAAGCAGGCACTACAATGAACTAGAGAAACAGAGGTTCCTGTTCTCACCTAGTTTACACAATTAGCAAAAGAATGAGAAAACTAAATTCAATGTCATAACAAGTGTTATAATAGGAGAAGCGTAAGGTATTATTGGTATTGTTTTGTTTTCTGGGTCAGAAAAACTTATCACTAAACTCAAATATAAGATTTCTTAACTCAGAAATTCTTAACTAGGATGATATGCCAACTCCCATGCCTGGGGCTAAAATCACTGCATTGAGAAATGTTACTGCTGAGAAACTGACTAGTCAGTTGCACATGGGAATAGAATACATACAGGAAAAAAAGACAGAGCCACCCTACTCTGATAGGTATCTATTCAAGCTATATAATACTGAAAGTTTCTTTTTTAAAAGCTCAGATAAACAAAACTGAGACAAAATTTTTCACAAATCTGACATTAGTTATGTTTCATTTTAATTATCATGAACAAAGCAGATCATTAATTTTTTCATAAATACCTTAGCAAACACTTTCATAGTATATCCCAAATACTGCACTCTAGGATCAATAGCTGCATAAGTAGCTAGCATTCTTGTGTTATGTTGAGCCTGAAAAATAATTACATATTTGAAAGGATTTCAAATTTCGTAAAATTAAACTACAAATCAGATTTAAAAGTAAAATACACTCCAAATACAAAATATATAAATGTAAAATGTAAAACACCTATTAATGAGTCAAACAAAAACTGACCTTCAATCTGAAGGAACTATCAAGATAACTAGTAAAATACTTTTTCCTTATACTGTTCACATTTGAAAGTTTTAAACATAGAGTCAGTAATCTGTAAACTTTTAAAATGAAAAGTATATACATGGCCTATAAAGATAAACTTACCAACGTATTATATAAACTGATATCGCCTTCTAACCCACTTCGCCTGTGTTCAAATTTTACTATAGGCACTTTGGCAGTAGTTATAGGCAAAATGTTTCTTAAACCTAATTTAAAAAAAAAAGACTTCAGTAGGTTAAATAATTTTCATATATGCTAAAAAAATTTATTTTGTTTTACAGATAAGATTCAAAATTCATACCTGGATGTCTCTTAAGAATTTTTGCCAAATTTTCAATTATTTCCTTACAATTTAATTTCTAAAAAACAAATCAAATAAATAAGTTTGACTCAATTTCACCTTGTGCAAATTCTACTTTAATCTAAGCATTTAATAGTAGCATTTACAATTTCCAGCCATAAAGCTCTATAATAACCTTGCTACTCCAAGTAAGTGATTCATAGACCTACAGTATCAGCATAATCTGGAAACTTGATAGAAATGCAGAATCTGAGGACCCTCCCCAGTCTACTAAATCATAATCTGCATTTTAACAGGATCCCAAGGTAATTCACATGCAGATTAAAGTTTGAGAAGCACAAAGACAGGAGAAGAATATGGTTTTCAATAAGTGAATAAACAACTAGAGGTGAGTTTGGTGAGGGCAAAACAATATACTGATTAAGTACATAGGCTCCAAATTGAGACAAACCTGGATTCAAATCTTTTTTTTTTTTTTTTTTTTCTTTTTTTGAGACGGAGTCTTGCTCTTTCGCCCAGGCCGGAGTGCAGTGGTGCTATCTCGGCTCACTGCAAGCTCTGCCTCCCGGGTTCATGCCATTCTCCTGTCTCAGCCTCCCGAGTTGCTGGGACTACAGGCACCCGCCACCGTGCCCGGCTAATTTTTTTGTATTTTTAGTAGAGACCAGGTTTCACCGTGTTCACCAGGATGGTCTCGATCTCCTGACCTCGTGATCCGCCCGCCTCAGCCTCCCAAAGTGCTGGGATTACAGGCGTGAGCCACTGCACCCAGTCTCAAATCTTAAACTAAGTATTGATTAGCTGTGTGACTAACCAGATGTTTAACCTCTCTGAGCATTACATTACTATTCTATAAAATCAAGATAATCATAAACTCCTGTCCTGCAGAGCTGTTGGGAGGATTACATGAGACATGTATGTAAAGCACTCAGCAGAATGCCTGGCACAAAATAAGCCTTTAAATCTGTGAGTTATTTATTATAATTATGTTGATATGGAAAAGAAAGATACTCCTATTATCACCAGCACCTATTTCTCCAAGGAAATTCTTACCTCTGTAAATTTAAATGTGTTACTCTTGTAAAAACCAGAGACAGCAGAGTTGGTATGGTAATGATAATCATAATACATAATGATTATGGCATTAAAAATTAACTGGAAATAGCTGAAGGGTATAAACATCAATCCCAAGAGTTATAAAGTCATTTGCATTTTTCCAACATGTTCTTTTTAGCTACATGAGAGCAGGAGCCATTGCAGCTAAACCAAAGGATTTCAAAGAAACCATTAGTTACTAATTCACATATGATAAAATTAACAAAGGAGGTAATTTTTCTCTTTATTATTCAACGATACAATTATGCTAATCTTAAAAGTTTCAATTATGGCTCATCTGAAAGAAAATGATTTATTATTTTCATTGTTTCAACTTCCCAGTAGGAATGGCACAGATTATATATAATATACAAACCCTTAGTGATTAGAAGTTTAATAAATTTTACATAGAAGATATCTAAAACTCTAACCTCTTTCCTGGGTATAAAAATCATTTCCTATTCCCTCAATTCTTACTCTTCAGAATGGAGAAGGGCAGCCACTTTCCAAGTAGGTGGCTCTAAGCAGAATTTAAGTAAAGGAGAACAAATAAAATACTTGCAACTTTTCAGTTTCTTTATAAAACAAGATGTTAAGACACCAGAAGCAACTTCTTATGGCCAGAAGTTAAGTCATCACTGCCATCTTTACTCCGGGTCTAACAATTTCAAAACCACCGTTCAAAAGAATGATTTTAGAAAAGCACACTATTCTGCTGAATTCTTTTATAATGTAACAGAGGCGATACTGACACCACTACAGATGCCAGAAGCTGGGCCTCACCCCAATCTTGCAAACAGTCCCGCATTTTGAAACATAAATAACAATAGCTAGGCTGGTAAAGGACTGAACATCTACAAGGATACCCTCCTTTGCTAGTTGCTGTTGAGAAGGCCTGGGACACTTCTTCCCTGTCCAATCAGTCTTTTTCTTCCCTGGAGCTTGGACAATCTCCTTCCCACTATTAAGGCCTGGTATACAAAAAAGGAAAGCGTAAGTACCCACTCTTACTGCTGAAATTGCACTTGGGGAAGGTCTGCTCCTGGCATCTCACGGTGGAACTCAGAAAGCTATCAGTTTCAGAAAGCAGTGGTTAGGTTCTACAGTACTATTAGTACTATATTTCAGCTACATTATGGGTTAAAAAAATTACAGAGAGGCAGTGAGATACAATGGAAAGAGCATGAACTCTGGAGTCAGACAGACCTGGGTTACGAATCCCGGCTCCAACAATTACTAGCTGTGTGAACTTGGACAAGTCAGTTTATCTTTCAAAGCCTCAGTTTCCTCATCTGTAAAATGGGGGAAATAATACCTACCTCGAAGGTGGTTGTAAGAATGAAATGAGATAATGTATGTAAAAGTGTATACTGGGAACTCAATAAATGTTAGTTCTCCTCCCCGCCCAAAATGAGTTTCTAAAAGCTATCTTAGCATTTTATTTATTTATTTTTTTTTTAATTTTCTGAGACGGAGTCTCACTCTGTCACCAGGCTGGAGTGCAGTGGCGTGACCTCGGCTCACTGCAACCTCCGCCTCCTGGGTTCAAGCGATTCTCCTGCCTCAGCCTCCTGAGTAGCTGGGACTACAGGCGCGTGCCACCATGCCCAGCTAATTTTTTTTATTTTTCGTAGAGACGGGGTTTCACCATGTTGGCCAGGAGTGTCTTGATCTCTTGACCTCATGATCCGCCCACCTTGGCCTCCCAAAGTGCTGGGATTACAGGCATGAGCTACCACGCCCAGCCCTTAGCATATCATCTGTAACATTGCTTCTATGGAAAAAATTTTATGTGAGTGGTCAAAAATTATAACTAACTTTTAGAACAAAACCAATTATAAATTAGATGACCACCTATATTTACTACCTATAGTAACACAAAGACATCATCTAATGAAAGAGATATGAGAAGACAAAGTATGAAAGATCAATGTTCACTACAAAACTGATGCATCAGCTTCCCATTGGTTCTAGTGAAAAAATTCCAACTTCGTGATATATTTTTTCCCAAAATTCATTACAAATCACTGTAACTCTCAGTGACATGGTTTTTGTATCATAAAATTACTGAAACACTTTTACTTAAGAGTTCAATGTCTTCTAAACTGAAAATGCTACTGTTTTCATATTTCAAACACTTATTTTGCTAATATATTTATACAAAGAGTGATACCACATTTTTATCAATATCACATACAAAAATAAACATAGAATCGTCATTGGGAGAAAATAAACTTACATAACGCTTTCCAAACACTCTTACCTCTGCATTTTCATGGCCTTCCAGGGTCATACAAATATCCAGATCACTATCACGAAATCCAAATCCATTCTTAGAAGAGCCAAATAAGCACAACCTTGCCTTTTCTAAGCAAAGGAAAACAAAGTCCAAGGCCTTATTATAAGCAGAGAGGAGGAGTCTTCTGCTATCTGCTGATGACCTAATACAACATGCTCTTGTCCATTTCTATGATTTAAATTACCTACCACTGGAAGAAATACTGAGAAATTCCAAAACATCTTGAGCCCAAGCTTTTGCCCAAGTTCCCATACCCATGTACCCAACTGCTTTTTCCAATTTTCCACAGACATCATACATTCAACACGTCTGAACTATCAACTTTGCCCCAAATCTATTACTATTTCTATTATCCCTGTTCTTAGCAAATAGTACCATCATGTACACAGATGCCCACATCAGAAATACAGGTGCAATCCTTAATATCTGTCTCTCAATGTCCACATCCAAACAATCATTGAGACTTTTAGCTTTTTCCGACTTACATAATAAATCCATCTGCTTTTATACATTCTCAACATCACTACCAATAGTTAAGATCAATATTTGAGGACTGCCCTCTTAAAAATAAATTAGTTCTTTCAAAGCACAATTCATGTAGGTTTACAAATATCACCTTAGTATACGATGCTCTTCCAAAAATGAGTGATTATAGTCCACTTGATATAAATTATGATAGGGTTAACCCTTCAGACTCAGTGTCATCCAATAACAGCTACCATTTCAAATAAGCTGTGGTTTAACAGAATTGGATTTTTCTTCCTATTACTTTTTTTTTTTTAGAGACAGGGTCTTGCTATATTGCCCAGGCTAGAGTGCACTGGCTATTCACAGGCACAATCATTATACACTACAGTCTTGAACTCCTTGCCTCAAGCAATACTCCCACCTCAACCTCCCAAGTGGCTGAGATAACAGGTGTGTGCCACTGGGCCTGGCTCTTCCTATTAATTCTAAAGTAGACTACACATTTATAGGACACTTTATACTTTCAAAACTTCATACCCCCATCCAGTTCTGATGCTCTACTTGAAATTTCAATGATAGCTGAGAGGCAAAAAAGAAGCTATACTCATCAGCAAATAAAACTGAGCATGATTTTATATAATAGAGACTTAGATTTGGTCAATACTTTATATACTCCTATAATCCCAGCGCTTCAGGAAGCCAACCAATGTGGGAGGATCGTTTGAGACCAGGCTGGGCAACATGGTGAGACTTTGTCTTTACAAAAATTTTTTAAGATAAAAAAGAAGGCGAGGTGCGGTGGCTCATGCCTGTAATCCTAGAATTCTGGGAAGCTGAGGTGGGTGGATCACTTGAGTTCAGGAGTTTGAGACCTGCTTGGAAAACATGGTGAGACTCCATCTCTACAAAAAATAATGTGCTGGGTGTGGTGGCGCGCACCTGTGGTCCCAGCTACTCAGGAGACTAAGGTAGGAGGATCGCTTGAGCCTCAGAGGTCAAGGCTGAAGTGAACCCTGATCACATGATTGCACCACTGCAGTTGAGCCCGGGTGACAGAGTAATATCCTATTTCAAAAAAAAAAAAAAATATATATATATATATATATATATTTTTGAGACAGAGTTTCGCTCTTGTCGCCCAGGCTGGAGTGCAAAGGCATGACCTTGGCTCACTGCAACCTCTGCCTCCCAGGTTCAAGTGATTCTCCTGCCTCAGCCTGAGTAGCTGGGACTACAGGCGTGTGCCACCACACCCAGCAAATTCTTGTACTTTTAGTAGAGACGGGTTTTGCCATATTGGCCAGACTCGTCTCGAACTCCTGACCTCAGGTGATCCACCTTCCTCAGCCTCCCAAAGTGCTGGGATTATAGGTGTAAGCCACCGCACCTGGCCAAAAAAAATATTTCTTAATAAAAAATAAATTAGCTAAGCATGGTGGCACACACCTGTAGTCCTAACGACTTGGGAGGCTAAGGCAGGAGGATTGCTTGAGCCCGGAAGTTTGAGGCTGCAGTGAGCTATGATCATGCCACTGCACTCCAGTCTGGGCAACAGAGTGAGAACCTGTCTCTAAAAAACAATAATGATGATATGATTTTTTAATTTAAAAAATATTTGTTTTCAAATACTTTTAATTGTAATATGTAGCACATAATGGGTCATCTTGTAAAAGTACAAATTCATTCTGATTAAAGTCAACTTTTATCCTTTTCTAAAATATTTAGTCACAAAAATCTTGATTCTTCATCCCCATGCCCAAAACTTACTCTTCCTGCTCTTTGCCATCTCAGTTATATAGGACCACCTACTGTAACTGTTATAGCAAAAACCTTGAAACCATCCTTGATTTCTTTCTTTCTCTCATGCCTCACATTTTCCATCAGCAAATCCTATTGGTTCTACCTTCAAAATATATCCCAAATCTGACCACTTCTCATCTACTCTGGACTCACACAACAGCCTCCTAAATGTTCTGCTTGCTTCCAGTCTTATAGCCCAGCAAACCATTCACTCAGATCATGTCATTTATTAACTAAAAATCCTCTAAAAGATTCTCATTAGGTACTCAAAATAAAATTCAAAGGCTTTCTACCAACATCCATAAGGCACTAATGACTTAATCCCTAGACCCCCTCTCTGACCTCTTCTATACATTACAATCTACCTCTAATACTCCACTCCAGCCACACTGACTTCCTGGCTATTCCTCAAATATGCCAAACATAATCTATTCTTGTTCCATCAACAATGTTTTCTCCTTGGATATTTATATAACTTGCTCCTTCATGTTATTCAGGATTCTCCTCAAATGCTACCTTATGAGAGAGGCCTATCATAACACTCCATCACTTCAGTTCTTTTATCTCCTATACTTTTAACAGCATGTATTATTTGCTGATATAATATTATATATTTATTAGTCAACTATTTGTCTCCCCATTTGAAACATAAGCTTCATGAGGTTTCATCTCTTTTATTAGCACTGTATTCCCAGCAACTAGAACAGTACTTAACACATAGCATTCAATAAATATTTTTAAATAAATGAAACTCAAGACTACATGACTACAGCAAAAACGCAATAAATTTTTTAACCTATGACATACCATCATATTCTTTTTGAATAAACTTTTCCAAGCCAATTAAAATTTGCTCCCTGTTGTGTTGTTCAGAACAAGGTGGTGATAACTCATCTGGGTTTATAAAAAGAAGAAAAAAGGAAAAAGAAAAGTAAGGAAAACAGAATCTGAAAACATCTTCAAGTTTTTACCCTAAAAATTTTACTTACAGTTTGTTCATTATTTGTTGACTTCTCTGACTTTAAAACCATAAATGTTACTGGGGAAGGGTCTGGGAGATAGAAGGAAAAAAACTGTTTTTCTGTTTTAGCAACCCAGGGGAAGAAACGAAAATAAATGAAACAGAAAAATAATTTTTAAGATATATGTACATTTCACATGATCATTTTCCGTATATCTACAAACCTATTTACTTCTTCACTCTCCCCCATATCCATGCTTATTTTCCCATTTGTTAAGATCTGTATTCATGTTGCTATACTAGGCATCTGGCCCACTCAAATTTAACAGTTCCCTCAAATGCCTGGTCAAAATTTCTATCTTCCCTATAAACTGTTTTGCCTAACCACAGCCTTCAATGATCTCTCCTTAGTTCCACACTTCTTTAGTTCTTCAAACTGTGTGCCACAGTCTGGTACCTAATTTATTTTGTCCTTTTGGTTTTCTAGTTATTTCATTTATATTCATCTTATTTTTCCAAATAAGTCCATATATTTCTTAAGAACAAAGTCTTTTTTTCCCTATCTCTTCCAGACTTATCCCCAAAAGTTAACACAGTAACAGAAACAAAGCAGTAATTTATTAAGAATTTGTTATAATGAATTAAACTAATATTCAGCTTTTTAAAAACAAATGCAGTTATCAGTGCTTACAGAAGAAGGGGAGTTAAATAAAATTAATGTAATTCGTTAACTTGTTTTAGGGCAGTGAAACTATTCTGTATGACACTCTAATGGTGGATACATGACACAATGCACTTGTCAAAACCCACAGAACTTTGCAGCACAAAGAGTGAGCCTTAATGTATGCAATTTTAAAAAAATCATCTAGGAGGTCAGGGGATCTCAGGATGTAATGTAGACTGTGACAAAATAATCTAACTATATTATAAATGTATGAAACAACTTCACATGAGGGAGTGGGGGGAAAGGTGCTGACCTAAGTAAATTTGAAAATGAGTGGAATCGATAAGACTTAAGGGCAAAAGAAACCATACATAAGCACGGTACTCTAGTTAATAAAGTTGTTTCCCACAGGGGTATTGGTTAACAGTTCTGATACTGCTATACATATGTACTAAAATGGAACAATTTAAAAAATGAATAATAGATGGTGGGAACCAGGTTTCTCACTGTTGGAGTGGGGGCTAAAACGAGCCATGTGGTAATGAGTTCGAGTTGGATATACCATTATGAAATCATGTTTGGTTTAATACAGATAAGATGGCTACATACAGGCTGTGCGCCGTGGCTCACACCTGTAAGCCCAGCACTTTGGGAGGCTGAGGAGGGTGGATCACAAGGTCAGGAGATCAAGACCATCCTGGCTAACACAGTGAAACCCTGTCTCTACTAAAAATACAAAAAATTAGCCGGGCGTGATGGCACGAGCCTGTAGTCCCAGCTACTCGGGAGGCTGAGGCAGGAGAAATGGCTGGAACCCAGGAGGCGGAGCTTGCAGTGAGCTGAGATGGCGCCACTGCACTCCAGCCTGGGCGACAGAGCGAGACTCAGTCTCCAAAAAAAAAAAAAAAAAAAGACGGCTACATATAGAAATCTTTATAGTAAGTTTATATACATAGGTTAGTATATACACACATATTTTGTTGCTCTGAGATGGCCTCAAAGCAGTGACAGCCCAGTAACAGCAAGCACATCTAGTGTTCAGGTCTTGGTTTCTAATCTCATTCTCCAATAAAAGGAACCACAGCTCCTTGGACAAATGCCTAATTCTAGGAGTAGGGCACAAAATATACATGCAGTGCCAGGAGCATCTTGTAGTGCCAGAAAGTATGGAAGTGTTAAAACCCAAACAAACAAAAAAAACCACACACTGATGGATATATATAAAAGGGACCAGGTAGTCAAGTAAAAGAGTTCCCAATGGCCAAAGCTAGAATAATCTGAACAAAAGAAAATTATATTCAATTATAACCCAAGGCATCAAATATCTATGAGCCCACATTGAGGTAAATAAATTACTAAGTAAAAATAAATGTAAATTGTATCTTAATAAAGCTGCTAAAAAACACGTGCCATGACCCAGCCATTCTAAGTATTTAGTCAAGATAAATAAAAGCATATGTCCATACCCAGACCCACCCAGCCAAAATTTTGAAATGAGACAAATATTTATCAACAGGTGAATGGATAAACAAATTGTGGTATAACCATACAATGGAACACTACTCAGATACAAGAAGAAATTAACCACCGATACACAACAACATAAATGAATCTCAAAGTAATTATACTGAGTGAAAAAAGCCAGACAAAAAAAGAATACATTCTGTATAATTCCACTTATACAGAACTCTAGAAAATGCAAACTATCTATAGTGACAAAAGCAGAAAAGTAGTTGCCTGGTGGGAGGCAGAAATGGGGAAGAAGGGAGCGATTACAATGAAGCACTAAATGTTATGACCAGAAATTTTATCTTACCTGGACACTGGAAGTAATTCATAAATGTTTGCTGAGTAAAGGTGACTCCCAGGTACTCTGTAAACGTTTGCTGAATAAAGGCATGCAAGCCGTTCCCCAAAATATGTTTATAGGCTTATCTCTCTCTATTGCCTTTCTTATACCCTACCAAATCAAAGGCAATTATTCCCCCAAACAAATTATGCACTCTATGCTTTTTTTTTTTTTTTTTTTTTTTTTTAAGACGGAGTCTCACTCTGTTGCCCGGGCTGGAGTGCAGTGGCATAATCTTGGCTCACCACAACCTCCACCTCCCAGGTCCAAGCGATTCTCCTGCCTCAGACTCCCGAGTAACTGGGACTACAGGCACCGGCCACCATGCCCAGCTAATTTCTGTATTTTTAGCAGAGACAGGGTTTCACCATGTTGGCCAGGCTGGTCTCGAACTCCTGACCTCATGATCGGCCCACCTCGGCCTCCCAAAATGCTGGGATTACAGGCGTGGGCCACTGCGCCCGGCCACTCTATGCTTTTATGCATAATCTTTGACGTTTAAAAATGCAGCTCAAGGTTCATCTCAAATATCACATCATTAATCCTGATTCCTCTAATCCACCCCAGATAAAATTGTGTTTACACTGCGTTTTGTTTACCACTACTATAGCATGTAACACATTCTATTTCCAATTATGGCAATTTACATAAATGCCATATTAACTCATCTATAGTGTTATCCAAGAACGCTGCAGTGATGAAAATGTTCTCTATCAACAATGCTGTCCAATGCAGCAGCCACTAGCCACATGTAGCTACTGAGTACTTGAGATATGTCTAGTATAAAACTGAAGAACTTGGTTTTTAATTTAATTTTAATTGATTTAAAGTTAAAAGCCACATAGGCTAGAAGCTACCATGTTAGACAGCTCATATCCATATTTTAAGCTCCTTAAAAGCAATATATATGGACTCTCAATTCCCCTTGGCATTTACCATGATGCCCTGCACATAATAGTCATTTAGTAAATATCTGTGCTTGGGTATCTATTCAAAAACCTCTAGCAAAACAAAACGTAAACAAACTGTTTTTAAATCAGAAAATTAATATTTAATATCTAAGAAGGAATCTAGTCCCAATAGTTGTAGTAATGAAAGACTTACCAAAACATCTTTTACATACTAAATCAAGTATTTCCCGAAATCGGTTTGTCATTGGTGGTAGAGGTTTTAAATCAATTTTCCTAAAATCCTCTGGGCAATCATTCTTTGAATGGCCATCCTTTTTGCAGATGCTGCATACTATCGTTGGTGGCTACACAAAGATAAAAAGAAATCTAATCTAATAAACTTTTGAGGGACTTCATCACTTAGGAAGTGAATTCAAAACAAATCTTTTATGTAACTCAGTTTTGATAACCTGTGCTTTCAGGAGGTAATTAAAAAAAAAAACATGTTGTTAAAATGCAGTATTAGCTACAAAAAAGTTTTTTGAGTCAACCACTTTTTCTTCCCCACTAAAATTATATCAAGGATTAAATTAACCTGAAAATGGAAGATACAGAAAATGCCAGGAGATGCAGAAAGTATGAGTTCATTCAAACAGCTCCCAAAGGAAAATATATGCATTTATTTTTAACTTACTGAGATCTAACAAAATAGGTTATAAAGAAATTTTAAGGTGCACCTTTCATTTCACTCCAAACATTTTCTATTTTCTGAATCAATCACAGAACCCTCACTTAGTTGGTTTATTAAATTAATAAATTAATTAAACTAATTTATTATTAAATTATTTAATATTTAATAAATTATTAAACTAATTTACTAAATTAGTTGCTCAAGAGACCAAACTGCAGACTGAACACTAAAAATAAATTAGCTTCATACGAAGAGTAACTTATCCAATAGCCACAAAATGAACTCCAAACCCTATATAACCATTTTAAATGTATTTCAATGGACACCAAACAAGTGGTTAAAACACAAAAATTTATGCCAACTCAAAGAAAGAAACACATATGTTTAAAAAACACCAATACTCTTTTCTTTATTGTAATATGCCTACATCCTAAAGTGTCTTTCTCCAATGTTAGCCTGGACATTTATATAGCCATAAATTCTGATACAAATTATATAAGGAAATCTCTCTTTGTAAGAATGATGCACTGTGGGCTAATTAACAGTACTACAAGAATCTCTATCACCTTTTCAAAGCTTTTTTTAAAAAATGACATATTTAGGCAGGAAACTCTTTAAATAGTAAAAATGAAAACTGGAACAACAGTACTTACCCTAAGTTTCCAGGAAAAAAAGTATAAAGCATAAGACATGTAAACTGAAGTTATATAATTAAGTTTTCTAAAAACCTGCCATTTATTTGATGCTTTCAATAGTGCATGTGCCTTAAATACTGCAACCTAGATAAAATGCAACAGATGTATATTTACATAGAATGAAGAAATACTGCTTATTGGGAGGGGAAAATGGGGAGGTGTTGGTCAAAGGGTACAAAGTTTCATTTGTGCAAAATAAATAAGTTCTGGAGATCTGTACAAAGTAGTTCTGGAGATCTGTACAGATTAATAATACTGTATTATATTCTTAAATTTGCTAATAAGGTACCTCTTAAGTTCTCTAACAACAAAAGGAAAAGAAGAGGAGGGTACTTTTGGAGCTGATGGATGGATAGGTTTGTGGCATTGACAGTGATAATAATATATATACTTAAGTTCAAACACATCCAGTTGTAGACATTAAATATCTATAGCTTTTTAAATGCTAGCCATACCTTAATAAAGCAGATTTTTAAAAAACAGGCAATACTATTTAATAATTAGGTTAAACATCTTAAAGCTTGTCAATAACTACGATAAAACAATAAGCCTGGATAAGGCTAGATGACTTTCCTTTTGTTTTTTTTTAATATTCTACTTGGCTTATGCATGATCTGTATAATCATTTTTTCACATGGATACTAATAATGATATTGCAATTATCTGGAATGCACTTGAAGTACTGTGATTCGGTTAAAACTTTGTTTTATTCACAAAGCAGTTATCGCTTACTTCCTGTTCAATGGGTTTTTTCCTATGATTTTAAATGATTTCCTTTATGAGTTAAAGTTCAGACTATCTGGCCAGGTGCAGTAGCTCACATCTATAATCCCAGCACTTTGGGAGGCCAAAGCAGGCGGATCACTTGAGCTCACAAGTTCGAGACCAGCCTGGGCAACATGGCGAAATCCCATCTCTACAAAAAAATACAAAAATTAGCCAGACATGGTGGCATGCGCCTGTTGTCCCAGCTACTCAGGAGGCTGAGGTGGGAGAATGGCTTGAGCCCGGGAGGCAGAGGTTGCAGTGAGCTGAGATTGCACCACTGCACTTCAGCCTGGGCAACAGAGCCAGACCTTGTCTCAAAATAATAGTAGTAATAAGTTCATACTATCTTACTTGAAAAGAAAAAGTAGAAAAGTTTGGATTCCTGTAATTCATATAGGATAAGCCGAAATCCAGAGGCTCAGTAGCAGAAACAGAATCTGGATTCTTCATTTTTTTGACTATTAATCTTAGTTTCCCTCAACTACCTTTAGTATGCTTATATTTCCCCCCTCTAAAAATATCTTTAAAGTAGAATACTATTAGAATTTACAAACCTTTTATTTTGGGGGGGGAAGAAAAATTTTATGTATAAAAATAAGCTTGAATGTGGCTTTTGTTGGGGAAAAAAATACAAAATAAGCAACATTTAAAATGCATGCTACCTTTGCTAAGATTTTCATGAAATATCAGATGAATCCTTTCATATATGAGAAAGTAAAGGAAACCAACTGGTAATAGAATGCTGAAACCTTTTGAGGCTTTATATACATTATTTAAAGGCAACTATATGAAAAACACAAAAGGTAAAATACATACCAAAATATCATTCCAAAACAAGTCACCACTTTATATAGCTATTTTTACATTTCTAATCTAAAAAATATACATAGTCATACAACAACCACAAAATCTTACAGATCATTTACAAACTGTATCCTACCTTGCCAGAGGTTAAAATAAACTTATCAAACACATAATATAATTCCTGGGTGGGGAGGTTATCATCATCATTAAGGTCAGAAGCATCTTCTGTAGCTTTGCAGTTGCAAGAGGTAGCAGATGTGTCGGTGCACACACTCTGATGTGAACTCTCTGTTTCTAAATTTGACCTGCAGTCTGTTCCAGTAGATTTATCTGGGTCAGGCGACTTAGACAAATCAATGCAATTACATTGGCTGAGCTCTTTTTTTAAACAAGTTTCTGAAGGCGCTAAATCATCTTGTTTCTTATCTAATTTTGGCTCTATTTCACTGCTTTTGCTGGTAGAAAGAGATGAAGAGTCCTGTCCGTGGTCAGCAAAATCTAGTTCATTTACCAACAAATTGTTGTTGTCAATAATACATCTCTGTGATGTACAGTCCATTTCATCACATTGAACAGGTTGCTCTCTTTCTGCATTTATTTTTTCTGTGGTTTCCCCAAGCAGAATACAACCATTGGTTGCCATATTGTTCGACTTGACTGGTTTCTTATTGCTTATTTTCCCCTTCTCTCTTTTCTTGAAATCCACTGTAGACTTATTTCCACCCTTCGTCTGAGGACAGGCAAAATACCGATAAGCTGCCCTAAATCTCTCCACAACATATTCGTAAACCAGCTGGCTGTTTAAGCTCCGTGCAACATTCCTCTTGACTGAAAATGGATCTAGCAAAAGAGAAAATGGTAAATAGCTAAGTCTCTACTAACAAACTACATTTCCAAGCTCATACAAGTAGATCTTAACTGATAAACTGTCAGGAGAATACATTTTCCCAAGGGGTTTTTCTAAGCTAGACTCCCAGTGAAAGTTCCTGAAAATGGGAGGAAATACAATTGCAACATTTTTTTCTTTCTCTCATAAAATAAAAAGCTAAAAGGAAAAATAAACAAGACTAATAATAAGGTCACTAATAATGGGATGGCTGAGAAGGCCAACTAAGTAATTAGTTTCAATGATGAAATTGTGGAAAAAGGAGTTTTTTTTTTTCTTTTGAGATGGAGTCTTGCTCTGTCCCCCAAGCTGGAGTACAGTGCTATGATCTCAGCTCACTGCAACCTCTGCCTCCCAGGTTCAAGCGATTCTCCTGACTCAGCCTCCGGAGTAGCTGGGACTACAGGTACACGCCACCACGCCCAGCTAATTTTTGTATTTTTAGTAGAGATGGAGTTTCACCATGTTGGCCAGGCTGGTCTTGAACTTCTGACCTCAGGTGATCCGCCTGCTTCAGCCTCCCAAAGTGCTGGGATTACAGGCATGAGGCACTGCACCCGGGTCACAGTGTTTTTTAATATAGTTATATGCTCTTTGCAATATAAACAAGTAAAACAAACTTAAAACTCTCAAGGCTTCAACTTGAAAAAAAACTGATTTTAAGATTTAACTTTAGTGAGATTAAAAAGTAAAAGACAGTAGTAGGAAGAAAGAGCAAAAAAGCAAGAAACCTAAAAAAGTAAAAATTAAACCAATATTTAAACTTTGATCCAGTCAAAAATAACTACCCTGTAAAGTCTTGACACAGCTGCATCCTTATTATTAATAACATGACAGATTTCTGAAAATATCTGTAAGCCTTAAATATAGATAACCCCCAGGAAAAAAGAACAGTGCACCAAAAAGACAATACATATGCTCTCCACTACTGAAGATCTTTTGGTATTAACAGGCCAGGCTTCAAACTGTTAAAGTTGGGGCATCTGTTACTTTTTGCTGCTATCTAAATCCACAGGCTTTAAAAAGATTTTTCTACTTTCTTCCTCACTTCCCAAAGAAAATGAAAGAGGGGGGGAAAAGAAAGAAAAAAAAAGAGATAAATTATGGCTGGCAGGCTTCAGAGCTCATTTATTTACTATATATAAGAGTACAAGATGTGTATAAATGTTTGCATGTATATTTCAGAATATTTCTGGGTTGAACTCACAGTAGAGAAGGCCAGCAGGTGTGAGGGAATGGAATAATATGTAGGCTGAACAGACTAAAACGGACATAAATTCAATTTCTTATCTACAAAAGGTAAGTGACATGCTGTGAAATTTAAATTTTTGATTAAGAATTGAGGAGCCACTCTATTGTTTTCTGTATCTCCAAAGATCTTAATGGTCTTGGGATCTGATGTGAAACTTTGTCAACATCAGTTTTTATTTTTCTCCTTTAGCGAAGCCACATTTATTAGGTGAGGTACTTTAAAAGACAATGAAAACTTTCTCATAATCTTATGACACAAATTTATTCAAAAAGATCTTATATTATTCATAACATATTTTTCTGTATTTCTGCAAGTTTGCATAATTAAAAAATAAAATTTTCAACATTTAAAAAATGCTAATTACTGACCTTAACCATATATGGCAGAAATCTTTAAATAAATACTAATTCTATAAAACTATAATAGACTTGACAAAGAATCTAAATAAATAATGAAGGCCATGCACGGTGGCTCATGCCTATAATCCGAGCACTTTGGGAGACCAATGCAGGAGGATCACTTGGGGCCAAGAGTTCCAGACCAGCCTGAGCAACACAGTGAGACCCCCATCTCTACAAAAAATAAAAAAAATTAGCTGGGCATGGTAGCACAAGCCTATAGTCCTAGCTACTCAGGAAGCTGAGGATCCCTTGAACCCATGAGTTTGAGGTTGCAGTAAGCCATGATCCTATCACTGCACTTCTGCCTGGGCAACAGGGCAAGACCCTGTCTCTAAAAAAATTAAAAATAAAGAATGACAATCTAGTGACATATATATATAGTGCCACAAAGCCAAAGGATTATTAACACTGAATTAGATAATGAGTAGCACATAAAAAATATTCTCCAAATGAAATACAACATATCATCTCACCTTCAATGGCTATTCGCCTTTTAGGCCAGTTTTTATTTTCTCTTGTTAAAATATCTTGTATCCGTACACATATGACATATTCCTCCAAAGCAAAATCCAGTGTGTAGAATTTAAGCAGCTCTAACCATAACTGTCCCAAGGATACCCGATTTGGTGTTTCCAATGCTAAAGGAGACTGGAAAAGAAAAAATACTTTTCATTTAAGCTTAACAAAACCATAAAAATCAACAAATTTTCAGTTAGAGAAGACCTTGGAGATCACGTTTTCAAAAACTGAGACATGAAGGAGTAATTTGCCAAAAAGCAGTCAGTTTGAAGCAAAGCTGGGAACAAAGTCCCAGTTTACTGACTCCTAGGAATTCTGCATTCTTTCCACTGAACCAGTGATTCTCAACCTTGGCTGCACATTAGAATCATGTGGAGAGCAGTAAAATACACCAATACCTGAATTCCACACCAACCCCACCTTCTACACCCCTCCCAAGATTCTGATAACTGACTAGGCTATCAGCCTAGGCAATGGTATTTTTAAAGCTCCCTTAAGTAATTTTCATGTGCAGCCAAAGCTGCAAACCACTGCATAACTACTACAACTCGTTTTTCCAATAATTAATTTTAAAATATAAGTAAATGCCCTGGCTTTCAAAAAAACTAATTCCTTCATTCAGCAAACATTTCTTTAGAACCTCCTATGTCCCTGACATTGTTAGGAATATCATAAAATAAAGAAAGCTCACACTTATACATAAGGTTTACCATGTACCATTCACTCTTCTAAAAGCGGCACATATATTAACAATTCTAACTATTCCATGAAGTGGATACTATAGGTCAAGGATTTGACTCAAGACCACCTGGCCACTGGGTCCATGCGGTGAATCCCTATACTATACTGCCACCTAAATAAGGTCCTACTTCATAGACTATTAGGAGGGGAGAGACAATTTAACAATTATAGTAAGGGCTACATGCTAAGATGGGCCTCTAATCAGGGGAATCATAACAGAAGAGGTAACACCTGAATTCCAAAGAATTAGCTAGATGAAACCTGGCTAAAAGTAACCACTAGGCAGCATAAACACAATGAAACAATCATTCTCACATTCCATTTTACAACTATTCATTGAGTGCCTACTTTGTGCAAGGCAGTGTTCCAGGCACTCGGGATACATCTTTGAGGGAAAAAACCCCAAAGATCTTGCCTTCATGGATCTTACTTTCTATGGAAAGACAACAAACATCTTTAGTAAGTAAATTACATAGTAACTTAAAAGATAAGTACTACAGAAAAAAAAAGAGTTGAGTACGCTAAAAAGGATGGGAGTGTGGAAGCAGGAGAAGGTTACAGTGTTCAATAGAGTAGTCAGGATAAGAATTATTGAGAAGGTACGGTTTAAGAAGAGGGAAGGGTGCTACAGGAATGGGAAACAGGGCAAACACACAAAGAATGAGACCAGTTTTAAAAAGCAAACCAAGATAGAGTGAGAGGAAGAGTAGAAGAGGAAAGAAAGCAAAGAGCCAGGAAGGGCTGTTTGGCTTGTTATCTAAATGAAATGAGGAACAACTGAAGCATTTGAGTGTGGCGAGAGGGAAGGGCATGATCTGGCTTAAGTTTTAGAAGAACTGTTCTGATTTTTAAGAACAGACCATAAGAGGAAAGGGTAGACACAGGGAAACCTGTTAGGAGGCTATAGTAGTATCCCAGGCCAGAGATGATGGTGGCTAGGACCAGGAAGGTAACAGTGGAGGTAGTGAGAGGTAATCAAATTCTGGATACATGTTGAAGTAGAGATGACAGGATTTCCTGACAAGACTTGATATAGGGTATGAAAGAGAAGTAAAGGATGACTCCAAGGTTAACCGAAAGGAACATCCTTTCAGTTAATTGAGCAACTGAAAGGATGCAGTGCAAACAATTAAGATGAAAAAACTAAGTGTGGAGCAAGTTTGAGGGGAGGATCAGGAATTCAGTTTAGACACATTAAGTTTAAGACATCTATTAGACGGCCGGGCGCGGAGGCTCACGCCTGTAATCCCAGCACTTTGGGAGGCTGAGGCGGGTGGATCACGAGATCAGGAGATTGAGACCATCCTGGCTAACACGGTGAAACCCCATCTCTACTAAAAATACAAAAAATTAGCCGGGCATGGTGGCCGGGCACCTGTAGTCCCAGCTACTTGGGAGGCTGAGGCAGGAGAATGGTGTGAACCTGGGAGGCAGAGGTTTCAGTGAACTGAGATCGTGCCACTGCACTCCAGCCTGGGCGACAGAGCGAGACTCCGTCTCAGGAAAAAAAAAAAAAAAAAAAAAAGACTATTAGATATCTAAGTAGAGACAATAAATGGGCAGTTGGTTATACAATTATGGTGGTCAGGAGAGAGGTCTGGCTGGAGATTTGAATTTGAGAGTGATCATCATACAGACAGTACTTAAAATCCACAGGATTAGATGGGATTACCAAGGGAATGTACATACACAAGAAAAAAGGGATCGTGAACTACAGCACTTCAACTTTAAGAGATTACAGAGGAAAAAAGAAACCAGCAAAGGAAACTGAGAAGGAATAACCAGACACGGGTCTGGTGTCCTGAAAGTCAAGTGAATAAAATTTTCAGAGAGGGAAGTAATTAACTGGCAAGTGTTGCTAATAAATCAAAAACAACAGAAACTGAGAAATGACCACGGGATTTAGTAATGTGGAGGTTACTGACATTGATGATACAAGTTTTGGCAAACTGATGGGGTGACATCAAAGCCTGATTAGTGTGAGTTAAGGGGAAACAGAGAAATCAAAAATAGTAAATACAGACATTTCTTTAAGAAGTTTCGCTGCAAAAGGGAGCAAAGGAATAGCTGGGAGGGGAAGTGATGTCAGATTTTTCTTACAGTGGGAGAAGTAAGAGCATGTTTGATTTTGTAGGGAATGAAAAATTGGCAATTTATGAGGGAATAATTGCTAGAGTGATATTCTGGAAAAGACAAGAAAGGATGAGACTGAATACGCAAGTGAAGAAAATGACTTTAGATAAGAACATGGCAAGTTCCCAGTGAAGTAATAAGCAAGCATTGGCTGAGAGTATTAGTGGTTTGAGGAGAGAGTATACAGTAGTACAGGAAAGTGGAAGAGTTGAATACAATAGTCAAGTATATCAGGAAACTACAAATAATTCAATATAGCTAGAGCAATGATTTCAGAAATGTTCAGATTTCTGTAATAATGCATCTGTCCATTTAGAAGACTACAAGCTTCTGAAGGACATAATCCATGTACCTTTGGTTCTCTAGCACTCAAGATAATGCCTGGCACATAGCAGGTCCTTAAAAATGAATGCTGAATGATCAAATAAGCAAAGCTACCCTCTCTTAGAGCACAGGGGCTTTATTTCTCCACCCAATTGGCAACAAAATTCCCATATGCTGAAGTCTGGTCAGAGCCCAACTCTTAAAGGAAATTTTCCTTGTCTAGATGAAAAATGACAGATTTATCTTGACATGATTCAAACAACACAAGTTTTCCAAAATAAGGCATAAATTCATTAGAGAATCTTGGTACTGAAAAACTAAACCAGATCAACCCCTCACTTTATAGATGAGGAAAATGAGGCCAAGAGGCTTGCTCAAGGTCAGTCAATCTACAATTAAAATAGCTTCAATCGAAGAATATCACAAATTCTACAGATAGAAAAGCCAAAAAACAAAAACAAAAAGGCTTACTTTGCCATGTTTTTCCTTCATGGCATTACTTTGGTTGTCTGTTTCTGTCTTCTTGGTATCATCTTTTGGTTGGTCTGCCTTAGCTTTGTTTTCCTCAGCAATTGAGTTTTTCTCAGTTGCACTACTTGAATTACATTCCCACTTCACAAACTTCTCTTCTACTATGCCCTTCAGCTGAAAGTCATCCATTCTTTTTGGGTCAAAGCCTTCAATCTATATAAAAAGGCATTCCAAATTGGTAGTGGAAAAATTATTTAAAAAAAAAAAAAAAGATGGACAAACAGACAAACCAGAATTCCAGCTTAAAATGTTTGAGCAGAGTTCTCTGCAAGAGCAAACTATATATATATATGCATATATATGTCACAAATTCATGCTTACCCAACTTCCAAGTAAGCAAGGAAGAAGAGGGGGTTTTCTCTGTTGTAGAAAAAACATCACCATTAAAGCAAAACAGTAAGAAGGGATTCCACCATCAGTTTGGGAGTCAATATAGCACAACTGCAAAATGAAGGGGAAAAAAGTACTACCATTTAGCTTTCTTAATTTTCATGATAAAAGTAGCTTGCTTTTTCCTACCCTAATCATTGTAAAAAGTTCAAATGACAATGAAAAATATAAGGAATAACTTGAAATATCATCACTCTAAAATAACCATTAAAATGTTGATGATCATTTTTTTCATTCTTTTTAAAATTCATACAAAGATACATATTTTTGTTAAAAGGAATAATATTACATGTAGTTATTTTACTGTGGACACATTTTAAAAATATTTTTTCATCTTGCCTCTACTTCTACTTCAATTAACAACCTTCTATGTCTTCTTCTAGGCCTTTTTCTATACTCATATACAAATACACATACATTTCTATTTCCTATATAGGTATAGGGAGAAGTTTAAGTTTTTCAACATTATTTTACCAAAATAGTATATTATAGACATCTCTCTGTATATTACTCTTCTCCCTTAACAATATATCAAGAAAGTCCCTTTAAGTCAGTTAGCAAGATCTAACACGTTATTTTATTTTTGAGACAGGGTCTTGCTCTGTAGCCCAGGGTGAAGTGCAGTGGCATGATCATGACTCACTGCAGGCTCAACCTCCCAGCCTCAAGTGATCCTTCCACATAGCTGGGACTACAGGCATGCACCACCATGCTCAGCTAATTTTTTTTATTTTGTAGACTATTTGTAGACAAATTTTACTTACGTTGCCCAGGCTGGTCTCGAACCCTTGGGCTCAAAAGATCTCCCCGCTCGGCCTCCCAAAGTTCTGGGTATTTATAGGCATGAGCCACCATGCCCAGCCAACACATTCTTTTAAATGCTTAAATTATAGTCTATGATATGGATGGTTACGTAACAGTTCCCCCATTCAAGAACATTCACATTTTGTTCCCAGTTTTTGCCACTTCAAATAATGCTGTAATGTTCATCCTTATACATGTTTCCTAAGTATTGGTGCTTATTTCTATGAGCTGTATGCCTAGGAATGTTTGTTAAATTAAAAAATGAGTGATATATTTTAATCTTAAAATATATTGTTAAGAATCGTTTTTCCAAAATCACTACAAAAATTCGTATTTTCCACTAGGAACCCAGGTGTGTTCACCCCTTCGAACACTAGGTATTATCCTGTGCATACACCCCTTCAAACACTAGGTATTATCACTTAAAAAATAATTTTCAATAATTTTCAATGGGATGGGTGAAATGTAGTATCTGATGGTTACTTTAATTTGCATGTCCTTGACCCTAAAGAGATTATGAAATTTGTGTATGTTTACTAACCATTTGGGATTTATTCTTTTCTAAATTGCCTATTAAATATTTTGCCAGTTTTTCTATTTTCATCCAATACATCAATTTATAAGAGTTTTAATTATAGATAATAACCCTTTACGTCTGATATATGCATTTGAAAGATGTTATTTTTCCCAATCTACTATTTTTCTTTTGATATTATTTATATCTTACCATATAAAATTTTTTATTTTCACTATGCTTTAGTTTAAATATGCTTATTTCAGACACTCAGCCCTCCATATCAATGGGTTCTGCATCTGCACATTCAATCAACTGCACACTGAAAATATTTTTTAGGCCGGGCACACTGGCTCATGCAAGTAATCCCAGCACTTTGGGAGGCAGAGTGGGTGGATGACTTAAGGTCAGGAGTTCGAGACCAGCCTGGCCAACATAGTGAAACCCTGTCTCTACTAAAAATACAAAAATTAGCCAGGCACAGTGGCAGGCACCTTTAATCTCAGCTACTCGGGAGGCTGAGACAGGAGAATCACTTGAACCCAGGAGGTAGAGGTTGCAGTGAGCTGAGATTGCGCCACTACACTCCAGCCTGGGCAACACCCCATCAAAAAATTTATATATACATTTTCTTCATTAAGTAAAATTATTTATTTATTTATTGCAAGGTGTGGTGATGGACACATATCACCTGCAGCTGATGTAGTCCCAGCTAGCTACTCAAGAGGCAGAGGCAGAAGTCCAGGAGTTTGAGTCCAGCCCAGACAACATAGCAAGACCTCCGTCTCTAAAAATATATATAATTGAAAAATTTGTTAAACGCCAGGTGCAAAGGCCTTGCCTCTTGAAAAAGCAAAACAAAACAAAACAAAAATATGCCAGGCACAGTGGCACACACCAGTAGTCCTAGCTACTCAGGAAGCTGAGGTGGGAGGATCCCTTGAGCCCAGGAGTTCAAGGTTACAGTGAGCTATGATGGCACCACTGCACTCTGGCCTGGGCAACAGAGTGAGACTCTGTCTCTGAAAAAAATTAAAATGTTAAATTTTAAAAACTAAAAATAGCAATATAATAAAAAATACAAATTAAAAAATACAGTACAACTATTTACAGAGCATTTATACTGTATTAGATGTTATAAGTAATCTAGTGATGACTTAAAGTATGTTAGAGTCTATGTGAAGGTTAGATACAAATAACACACAGTTTGTATAAGGGACTTGAGCGTCCTCAAATTTTGGTATCCTTGGGGGTCTTGGAACCAATCCCCCTACCACTGGATACTGAGGACAACTATACACCTTCTAGGTATCCTATCATAGTAAAAGATCTCCCCATCCCATTATTTACATATACATACTCCTACATTTTTCTTCTAAAATTTTAAATTTTCATTTAAGTAAAATTTATTTTTGCATTTAGCATGCTGAGTCCAACATTATTTTCTTCCAGTAAGATACAGTTGTGAAAGCACTATTTAATAAAATCTGTACACTAGATCATCTGAGCATTCTATTCTGTTCCACAGATCTATTTTTCTATTTCTATGCCAATAGCATACTCTTGATTAAAGCAGTTTTACAGCCTTCCTTTTTGCTCCTCCTGAGTTCATTCCCACCTTGGAAGCTTTGGACTAACTGTGCCTTGGAGAGTTTTCCATCAGATTTTCATGTGGCTAGCTATTACCCGTCTGAGCTTAAATATCATCTCTTCAGAGTCTTTTCCTGACCATTCAGAGTAATGTCATTCATTCTATCATTTCATTTTTGTAGCACTAAGCTCTAGCAGATATTATTATTTATGTATTTCTTTACTGTTTGACTCTTCCAGAAGTATGTGAGCACCATGAAAGCAGGACTCTGTATGTCCTGTTAGATGTTCCCAGCCTCTAGAACAGTGTCTGACACACAGAAGGCATTTAACGAATGTTTGCTGAATGCATGGATTTGTTCAGATTTTGCTTTCATCTTTCAATAATATAATTTCTTCTTATATCTTTGTTATTAAATCTCTTCCTTAGTGTTTTATAATTTATGTTGCTGTCATAAAGGTACACATTTTTCCCCATTTCCATTCTAACAGGCTATTTTTATGGCAGAGAATGGCCATTCACTTTTGTATATTTATCTTGTATTTAGTTATCTTACTAAATTCTCTTATTAATCCTAGTAGTTTTTTACTAGGGTTTTCTAGGTGTACAATCATATCATTCGCACAAAGAGATAATTTTATACTTTTCCCAATATTTACATTCAATTATTTCATTTTCTTATTGCATTTCCTAAAATCCCAAAACAATGTACAACATCAATGGTGAACTTCTCTGCAATATTCTTTATCTTAACATATATGGCTTAAATGATGTTTCTTATTGTTTTGCCTTTGTTTTTTGTGTGTTTTTAATAAATGGTTTTCATCATAAACTTCCATTTCTAGCTGACTTAAAAGTTTCTGTTAGGGAGAACATGCCCTTTCAGCATCTAGGATTTTTTTTTCTGCTTCATGTGTTAATATAATAAATTATGTGAACAGACTTCCTGATATTAAACCATTCTTATAATCTTGAAGTAAATCATGCAAGATCATGGCATATTAACCTTTGATACATGGATATATTTCATTTGCTTATATTTCATTTAGATTGTAGCATCTATATACGATTGGTCTATACTGGATTGGTTGGATTCATTTTTAAATCATTGTTTTCTTCTGTAGACAATGAAGATTTAGGATAATAATAATAATATAGAGTAATTATACCGTAGCATAATATCTTGGTACATTTAAGATTGCAACTCAAAATAAAAGACAACTAAAAACACTTGTCAAAAAAGAATTTGAAACATTCCACTAGAATAAACTCTCACTTATCCAAAATATTAAGACAAGGGTAAACTGCCTAATGAATAAGTCAACTTAACCAAAAATTCCTTTGCAACTATAAAGAACTGTCAATATATTCTGCTAACATTACCAGACATCTCACAGATAAACAAGATTAAAGCAGTTTAAGAGAGAGCTCTTAAAACCCAGATATCTCTTTCAGATGACAAATAGTGCTAAAATGCAATTCTTACATTAACCACGACAAGTGGCTCTAAGTCAGGTAACTTGACTAATAATGTACTGATGATAAGGCTAAAGAGTTCTGCCACCTAGAGTTAAGAAGCTTTATCTAGAAAACTATTTCCCATTACTAAAATGCAAAGACTATAACTACTTAAGACAGCCAGAGAATAATCAACTGCAATCTCATATCACAGTTATAAGAGTAAATTATATACTAGAATTGTCCTGAACCCCCAAATCATGGAAAAATGCGTGCTTAACTAGATAATGTACAATATGGCTTAAAACTTCAAGAAAAACAAAGCTATTTTAAAAAAATCTTTTAGAAGAAAAATAAACTAGGAATTATTTCTAAGTTTCTTAAGAAAATGAATACCATGAAAAAACTTTCTTTGCAACTAACACAAATGACAAAAACGAGACATGTTATTCTGTTGGAAACAGAAAGAAACCATTCTACAACCAGTTTTGTAATATATGTTTCAGTGTCCATTGACTGGCATATTTAGAATCTACATGGATCAACTACTAAAACACCATGAGCAACCTTTTCCAAGAGTCACTTTAGGAAACAATATTTATGGGCCATATTTTTTTCCAAAATAAAAAGAATGTATCTGAGTATCATTTATAATCTTCTAACACAGACTACTTATTTTACTGAGTAGAACAATGTCTGGGAGAAAACTGACATGACTTTATGACCACAAAAAAAATTAGGGCATAATTTAAAAGTACCAACAAAGAAGCAACTGTGTATTCCATCATCCTTTATATTTCTGTAGTATTTTCGAGCCTGAAGTATATTCTCATGAATTATCTAATAGCATTACCAAAATATTCTCTCCAGGTGAAAAAAATTGAAGCTCAGATAGGTGAAGTACCTTGCTTGAAGACTTAGCAAAGCTGGGTGCTGTGGCTCACACCTGTAATCCCAGCACTTTGGGAGGCTAGGGTGGGAGGATCATTTGAGCCCTGTAGTTGAAGACCAGCCTGGGCAACAAAATGAGAACCCATCTCTACAAAAATAAAAAATAAAAAATTAGCCAGGCACGTTGGTACACGCCTGTGGTCCCAGGTACTCTGGAAGCCCGCGGCAGGAGGATCGCTTGAGCCTGGGAGGTCGAGGCTACTGTTAGCCGTGATCGCTCACTCCAGCACTAGGTGACAGAGACCTCATCTCAAAAAACAAAAAAAAACTTAGTAAAAAAAACCATACCTGGAATTGGTTTACTCCATTCCATACACTGATTTCCTATAGTATGCTAGGCATAGAGTATAAGATAAATGAGAGGAAGTAGTCACCCTCCCTCAACCTATTTTACTGCCTCCACTCTCTTCCATGGGTTAAAAATCTTTCTGGCCCAGGCACAGTGCCTCACACCCATAATTCCAGCACCTGGGAGGGCAAGGTGGGAGGACTGCTTGAGCCCAGAAGTTCAAGGCCAGCATGGGCAACATCATGAGACCCCATCTCTACTTAAACAAACAAACAAAAAAAAACACAACTCCTTTCTGAAGAAACTAGGTCATTTATTCAACAAATATTTACTGAGTGCCTACTATGTGCTGACACAGTAAAATAAGCGGAAGTGGGGATCAGCCGTGAATACATAAAACATTAAAATCCCTGCCCTCAAAGAGTTTACAATTTCACAGTACAGACTGCAACAAATTTATGTATGGCAGCTGGTAATCAATGTGAGCATAAACCTGAAAAAAGTAAGAGTGAAGCATTCTAAATACCTAAGGTAAGAACATTCTAGATGAAGGAAACAGCAAATACAAAGGCCTTGAGTATAAAGAAGCCCCAACCTTAGGCTTTCTGACTGTTTCGTACTCAGCCAGCTGGTGCTGCTCCAAGCATGGGGGCAATTCTCTAAACAGAGCCCAGACAAAAAATTCCAGAGACTTCTCTATTTTTGCTATGAAGTTACCACTCTAACACCATCCCCTTAACCAGTTTTCTTTGTATATGACTGAGAATTTACTCACCAGTCTAACAAGTGATGAATACTCTACCGATAGGGCAGGAATACACAAACAAAAGGCTAAAATCTCTCTCTCTAGTCATTTGGACTGATATTGATAATTAACTACTACTCCCTATCCCCACATCAAAGAAATAAACACAGGGCAACCACAGCCTTTAGACATACAAATTAAGACTAATTTAGGAAACTTAAATAACTAATGCTCAGCAGTTGCCCAATCAGAAATTGGTACATGTTATCAATGATTTAGAGGAAAGAGAATAGCATTCTTAGAGACTGGGGAAAAAAATATGCCAACAAAAGAATCTTAATGTATATACATCTTAAAACCTTACAAGTTTAACTTACAGTAAGAGTGAAAACTTGAGCCTCATATGCTGATATGAAAGAGAACATTTCTATAGTACATAAAAGGAGAATATAGCATGACAATTAAAAATTCTAAAATATATCCATAAGTGTGTCTACAAAAATTTATTTTTATGTCCATAAATTACAACCTGCCACACCAACTTTCTGTCTAGCACAGAAAACTACTTTCTCCCACATGTTATGATTGATGTTACATGTCAGTACAAGAAAAGGCCTAATTTTGAAGATTAAATACATTTCCTTCTAAAAATATAAATAAGTAGTTTTCCTCTCTTTCACTTACCTTAGCCCAGTAGCGAAAGGCTAACACCAAGGGAATAAAGACAGGTTCTATTTTGCCAAGGGCAGTAAGTAAATCAGTAGTGAGACATGCCATATCGTTTCCTGCACTCACTCTACAAAGTAAACCACTGTGAATGAGAAAGAAACAAATTTCATTGTATTAATACCCTTAAAAGCAGAATACTTCAAATCCTGTGGCTATTTTCTTTCTAGTTATCATATTGTAACATAGTACCGTAAAAGCCCTAATAAAAACAAATGTTTTAATAAATTTAGAGCTAACTGAAAACTACATGTCATTCCATAACTAGAGTTCCATACGAATTAAAGAAAGATGTTTTTAACATTCATTTGTACTTCAGAAATAAATTTCAACCAAACTTAGTATTTAAGTTAATGAGAAATTAATTTCAAAAGCAGCATTATGAATTATCAAAACTGATATACATGAGAGACAGGGCACTGATCTCTTCAATGTCAAATAGTGCAAGGTAATTTCCTAGTTCAATCCTCTTGCTTTCTACATGATAATAGCAAAAAATGAATACTTAACTGACTGGCTATACTTCTTGACTCTAATTTTTCCTATCCAAGCTTTCACAATTGTACTAATATGTTATTTTCAGAGTAAAGATTAGACAGGATTTGCAGATTAACCCACAAATTATACTTCTGTGTAAGTGAAAATAGCAGCAACCTTAAATGGGATGACAGAAGTGTAGTGAAGATATTTTGAAAGCAGGGAGAAGAATAAATCTGAGGTGTCACACACAGGCAATTTAACACAATGTGGCAGAAAAAACACTAAAGGTCACTTTGCCTCCATTTTCCAATTATAGTTTCCCCCTCAATGATGTGAATCTAGACAAACTGATAAACCACTCCAGGTCCCATTTTTCTAGTTTAGAAAATAAATCTGAACTAGATCGCCATAGACTCATCTAGCTTTGAATAAGAAAATACCTTGATCTTAAAATATAATACAAGTTAATAATCAATAAAAGAATATCATTTCTGTATTGTTTCCATGTCTCCCACACTACTTTCAAATAGGATTTAGTTTCTGCTTTCAAAGGCACTTTGATCTCTTAGACTTATAGACATCTAACTAGAAAGGCAAGATCAGTCTTCAATTTAGGACTGATCTTGAGTTTATTCAATTTAAATCAACTCATTCAATGTAAGTGAAATAAAAACTAAACTCTAAATTCTAATGGATTGTGAGATCCTTGAGAAGAGAGGCTTTTTTTTTTTTTTTTTTGAGACAGGGTCTCACTCTGTCACCCAGGCTGGAGTGCAGTGGCACAATCACGGCTCACTGCAGCCTCAACCTCCCAGGCTCAGGCCATCCTCCCACCTCAGCCTCCCGAGTAGCTGGGACCACAGGCACACACACCCACCATGCCTGGCTGATTTTTTTATTTTTTTTGTGGAGACAAGGTCTCACTATGTTGCCCAGGCTAGTCTTGAATTCCTGGGCTCAAGTGACTGAAGAGAGGCTATTTCTTCTTTATGTCTGTATCCATAGAGCAAAGTAGTACCTGCATATAAGTAAATGCAATACTCTTGGGTGAGTGAATGACTTGAAAAAAAAAAAATTGAAGTTTTGCCTAGAGTATTTTATTTTCAACTGTCTGATGTTCTATATATTTCTTGTTCACATGCATTTGGTAAGCTTGCTATTTTTAATGAATAGAAACTAGCTTAGTCATATTCATCCAAGGAGAAATCTAAAACAAAAACTTTTTCTCTTAAAGATCATTCACTACAAATTTGGTTGTTGGGGTTTGTTTTTTTAAATATTTTATCTTCATTGTTACCAACCTTTTTCGATCTCTGCACACCACAACAGGAACTTTAGCGTGAAAATCAGATTCCACATCTACATATAATACTAATAAGGAAAAAAAAAAGTAAGCTAATGTCAACATCTCTAAAATACGTACTCTACAGTAAACATTAAGTAACAGTTTCCTTCTGAAAATTATTCTCATTGCTTCTGTGGGATAATCCACTCTTCTCATTATGAGCACCAACCCAGCGAAATCTCTTACCTCTCCTGGTGTCATTTGCTGTATATCACAAACCACAGGTACAGCCCCAAATACTGTCCAAAAATTATAATCACCTTAAGAAAGGTCTTAACATCCCTAAAAGTTTTAATATTTCCAAGTAAGTAGATAATCTAGTCAAAGTTGTTAAACCTTCATAGATAACAGCAAAGAGAGGACACCCCTTACTCCTGAGAGCTAGTTCCACAGGAGCCATGAAAGGAGGACCTATCATGCTTTGACAGTTTAGTTCTTTTAAATTACCAATGTAATTACAACCTAACTCTTCAGGCCACATTTCCCGTTAGTATATGAAGAGTTTGCCTAATCAAAGCTGCTAAGGAAGGACTAACCGGATGAAGCACATTTCTACCCTGAAATCTTTCTCTGTATCTCCAAGGGTAAGCCCCATGCCATAAATGTCTAATCTAAATAAAAACAGATAGATTGGCCGGGCATGGTGGCTCACACCTGTAATCCCAGCACTTTGGGAGGCCGAGGTGGGTGGATCACGAGGTCAGGAGTTCAAGACCAGCCTGGCCAAGATGGTGAAACCTCGTCTCTACTAAAAATACAAAAATTATCCGGGCATGGTGGCACGCGCCTGTAATCCCAGCTACTCGGGAGGCTGAGGCAGAGAACTGCTTGAACCCAGGAGGCAGAGGTTGAAGTGAGCCGAGATCGTGCCACTACATTCCCACTTCAGCCTGAGCGAGACTCCATCTCAAAATAAACAAAACAAAAATAACAACAACAAAAAAAAACCAGATAGATTAACATCACTTGTAATTCAAAGAAAATTTCTCAATAGTACTTGTTGTAATTATTAATTTAGTCAAAAAACACGTGCTGAAGACCTATATGTCAGAAACTGCATTAAGCAGGGTCAATATGACAATGAGTAAAACACAAAAAAGGTCAATAAGGGGTTTGGGACACAAATATATAAACATATAAATCCTGTAGGTGACCTGTAGAAGATACAGTAAGAACATAAAGGAAGAAATAATCAATTTTACAATCAGACTGAGTTTTATAAGCCTACATTGTATGACTTAAGATAATCTACTTATATATCTTGGATGGAAAAGGCATATATTAAATATTTGTGCTAGGATGATACTACCTAGGAAGTCTGAAGAGGTAAATGCTATGTCTACCTCTTATCTGTAGTAAACTTAAAAGTTTTTCGGCAATTAGAAACAAGTATTGAAGAAAGAAAACTGTATTAAAATACCTTTATATGATACACTGTACCAAACTCATTCCTAGAAAACTATTTTCCCAAGACAATGGCCAACAGGAAACTGATAAGAGCTGATTGTGTGGACAGAAAGAAAAAAGAAATTTAGAATTCATATTAAAGCCAATGAGAGAGTATGGCTTTAAAAAAAAGCTCTCTCTTCTAACCCAAATTGCAAATACTTTTGATTCATATAATTTAGGGTAATAATAACAATCACAACAGCAAAAACGTAATAAGAAGTTATTGTATATCCCACACTTTTCTAAACTATAGTTTAGCCTATCTCATTCTTACAACAACTTTCTCATCAAAAAGATACAATGTAATATTACCATTTTACAGATGGGAAAGCTAAGGTATTAACACAAATAATTTGTCAAAGGACACACAACCAGTAAGTGGCAGAACTAAAATCTGAGCCCAGAAAGTCTAGCTCCAGCTCCCAAGCTTAATCTTAAGCATTCACTTTGTAACAAGAAAAACAGTAAGTAAAAACCAAGCAAATCTTGAAGATTGTAACACATGACCTGGAGCCTGGTTTGAGAATCTTGTAATTTTTAAATTTTTCTTACCTATATGAATGATGTGTTTACAAAGGCAATCCAGACAGAAAAAGCACACATGAAAAACTCAACTAGGTATGATTCAACTGATGTAATATAAATGATTAAATTAATATAGATGCTTTAGGTGGGAAAAAACATATTTACTCAATGCATGCATACATTTTTATTCCAAGTCTCTCCTTAATCTTCTTTCAGTAATGACCTCATAATGATTATAGGTTTTGTCTTCTTTTACATAAGAAATGCCCATAATATTCAAAGCAAATATTTTTTAATTACCCAAAAGGCAGTAGTTTTTTGCATATGAAGGTTTTTTGTTTTTGTATTTTCCAGACGGAGTTTCACTTTTGCCGCCCAGGCTGGAGTGTAGCAGCGCAATCTCAGCTCACTGCAACCTCCGCATCCCGGGTTCAAGCAATTCTTCTGCCTCAGTCTCCCGAGTAGCTGGGACTACAGGTACGTGCCACCACGCCTGGCTAATTTTGTGTTTTTAGTAGAGACGGGGTTTCAGCATGTTAGTCAGGCTGGTCCCAAACGCCTGACCTCAGGTGATCCACCCATCTCAGCCTCCCAGAGTGCTGGGATTACAGGTGTGAGCCACGGTGCCCAGCCTACATATCAATTTTAATATGGCATTTTTTTTTTTACCTAAGTTACAGTTAAATTATATTTTCTAGTATATCTATAAACAAGTGTGTGTATGTATCTCCATTTGTAATGCAATGACTCAACTATGCCAGCAGTTTAGTTTTAACTTGGTTAGCCATATATAAACAACACATGTACCTTTAGAAAGACAAATTAAAAAAAAAAAAGAAAAGAAAAAGAAAAGAAACTCACCATTTTTCTTTAAAATCCCAAGTACTTTTATCAGAAGATCTGGATGATTCATCTAAAAAAGTTTCAAAAATAAATCGATATACTAATTTCAAAGTTCGGACAGCAGAACATTAAGGAAAACTCAATTTCATTAAAGAATAACATTTAAATATAATCATGCTTTGTGTTTTAAATAGTGAAAACAGAATCGTGTTTTTTTTTTGTTTTTTTTTGAGATGAGGTTTCCCTGTATTGTCCAGGCTGCAGCATGACCATAGCTCACTACAGCCTGAACTTCTGGGCTCAAAGACTCCTCCTGCCTCAGCATCCCGAGTAGCTAGGAGTGTAAGTGTGTGCCACCACATCCAGCTAATACTTTTTTTTTTTTTTTTTTTAAGAGACAAGGTCTTGCTATATTGCCCAGGCTGGTCTTGAACTCCTGGCAAGAAGGATTCCTCCTACTTTTGCCTCCCAAAGCACGGGAATTATAAGCATGAGCCACCTTACCTGGCCATGTTTTACTTTTATGTCAACAAATCTTGTTCAAAGAAGTAGAATCTAATAAATGATATAGCACTTTTATTCCAGAAACACTCTTAGAATTAATGGTTTCTTAAAGCAAGAAAAGGTTCTGGAATTTCCCATCAAAACAAAAGAGAAATGAGTTGACCAGATGACTGTGAAAAACAAATTGTTGAGATAAAAACTTTAAGGGATATAGACAACTGGAAGCTTAGTCAAAAGGCTTAGAATAAAATACTATTTTATGTAACAAGCTTGTCAAATGTTTAAAGTGTTTTTTGCTATTTAAGAATATTTAGGCCAGGTGCGGTGGCTCACACCTGTAATCCCAGCACATTGGGAGGCCGAGGCAGGCGGATCACCTGAGGTCAGGAGTTCAACACCAGCCTGACCAACAAGGTGAAACCCCGTTTCTACTAAAAATACAAAAATTAGCCAGGCATGGTGGCACACACCTGTAATCCCAGCTACTCAGGAGGCTGAGACAGGAGAATCGCTTGAACCCAGGAGGTGGAGGGTGCAGTCAGCCGAGACTGCATCACTGCACTCCAGCCTGGGAAACAAAGTGAGGTTATGTCTCAAAAACAAACAACAAAAATATTTAATAACCATACATTAATTATAAAGTAAATGTATCACCCTACAAACACCAAATTTTCACCCAAATCAAACCTCCCTGAACATAAACATATTATTCAATTTAAAACATAAAATATTGACTTATTTTAAAAGATTGATATGTCAATAAAGAATGTCAGCAGTGCTAAACAATATTGTTCTAATACTGATAACAATATTAGAACAATATCAATATTGTTCTAATGATTCTAGGTACTACTTATTAAAAGTACCCATATGTACCAGATACTATATTAAGACACCTGACATATATTAATATTATCTCATTTAATATAAAAATTATTATTCCTGTTTTGGAAATGAGAAAACTGAAGCTCAAAAAGTTCAAGCAACTTGCTTATCACAGATAAGATCTGAATCTAGGTATCTGATTTCAAAACTCTTCCCACCTTCTATACTGCTTACCAGAAGTATTAACTATTCAACATGTTCAAATATAAACATTTTTCCTTTTTCCAGCTTTCCTCTTCTGCTTCCTTTTGCCCTTGTCCCTTATTTCTTTTATCCTGCCTTTGTCTGAAATCTAATAGTAATTTCCAAAAGCACTGTTTAGTCACGATGGTAACACTATACAAACCAGAGTTTTATATTTCCCTATCCTTTCTCTACAAAGATAATCCATAAAAATTACTAAGTACTAGTTAAGAACCACACAGGAAAGATTCTAATTACTTACCTTGGGAGGAAATTTTATATCTATATTAACATCACTACTTTTCAGAGCAAATCTAGTCAGAGATGAGCCATACAACCTAAGTGAACATTCTGGAATAAAGGAAAAACATCAAAGCATGAAATAGCATGCAAATATGAGAGATGTAAAAAAACAGCGACGGGAAAATTTCACACACTTCAGTTCTACGTCTTCCATTTCTAGTAAGACAATTATACAAGAAGAACACCCTTTCTAACTGATCTATAGAATAAAAAAATGGTTCCCAGTTATGGAGTGTAGGAACAGAGAAGGGAGAGAGAAACTACTCACAGAAGCTTACTGTTTAAACAAAATTTTAGTAATAGTTCATTTAGAAATGACTGACAATATGTTTAGCATTCAATATATAACAGTAACTAATGTACCAACTTAGCTATGGCTACTGTCACAAACTACATTTATTTACTCTTAAATATTTATGTAAGAGCACTTTGGGGAAAGGATCATAAACATTCAATGCCAATGCTTTTATAAAATACGAAGTGAAGCCAAGTCAGTTAATTCTGTAAACCTAAAACCCAAAACACTGTGGTTCTCAAGAGTTTATAGAAAAAAAAGAAAAGCAGTAACACACTACTTACAGCTTTCCCAGACTATGAAACATGTTATTCCAAAAATCATAATAAGGCAAATGTTAAAAGGATCTCACCAGAGGCCAATTTGAAAATAATATGATTGGGACAGATCAAGAAGATTTAGTTTCTTAGAAAGTTTAACTTCATCCTCAGTTGTATATATAAAAGTCTACTTTTCAAGTTCATAAAATGTCTGAAAGTCATTCAAGTCACTAAACCCATAAAAATTCATTCCTTTTCTTATCATAGTAAATAATTTTTACATGTAACTTAAACAAGGATTCAATGTATTTTAGGTAGAAAGCCATATTATGATATAAATACTTTAAAAATTCCATTTTTAAATTTCAATTTTATATTCTTTCTTATAAATCTCAAAATGGATCTATATGAAAGTATAATTTATCAACTTTCCAAAATCCCTTTGGTGGGAAGAAATAAGTCTTACGTCAGATACATTTACTTTAACCCTATACTGATGCAAAAAAGATATGGGCTAAGCAAATAGTCCATATATAAATATCTAAAATAAATCTGACACTCCCTTGTACCAAACAATAAGCTTTTTCTAAAGGCCCTATTAAAGTAAATTAATTTTTCCCCACCATCAGGCAACAGAAATTTAGTTCAGTGACTGGATGAAATGTTTATACTGAAAATAATATAACAAAATAGTCCACTCAGAAATCAGTGATATTGAAAAACTAAAATATTTGACCGCCAAGAAATAGTTCTACATCTGGCATTTTTAAAATCTTTTTTTCTTAGTACAAAAGTGTGCTGTGCCATAATTCTCAATTTCCTTGTGTGAAATATTTCCCTCAAAAATTCATTCATAAAACAATAAATTTTATCTACTTTTAAGGAGAAAAGGGAAGAAAAACATTAAGAAATGTACTCTAGTTCAAGAGGAGCAAGGGAAGAGTTTTGTGATTTTCAAAATCAAATATGAAATGTATTTCTACCTGGTAAAAATGTCGTTATAACCTTTGACATTTCCTCCACAATTTCCTGACGGACTCTGAGGTCATCATCTGTTATTCCATGTTCTTTTGCTAATTCAATGACTGCAACACTTAAAGCAGCCAAGTGGGCAGGGGAAGGAGGTGGCAGAGAACGAAGCTCACTTTCTTCTTGTTTTTCCTATTAATGTAATGATTCACAACAATAAAAACAAAAAAAGTTTCTATTTTAATTGTTCTTATATTTAGCAGGGAAAGACAGAAATAAACTAACTCAACAAAAATATTCACCTTCCATCTACCAGATACCTACAATACGGAAGTGAACAAAAGACTTCTGCCTTTGGGAAGCAGGGTTTTGAGAATGAGAGGTACTGTGTGGGGAGGGGATGCTACTAAGTTTTTAAAAATTTGTTCCACTGTACTGTCTGCATAAATTCTGAAATGCTACATTAAAGCCAAGGTACCTTAAGTACAATACTAACTTGACGATTTTGTTGCACCAAGGCAGATTGTCTTAGATGTAGCAGAAAAGTCTTGAATCCTATCTAATCAGCATATACAGTATCAAGTTAAATGGTCACAGGAAAACTTCCTGCCTACTATTTACCAGTGATTTCTCTTTGTGATTTTATCCAACGCTATGCGAAATGTTCAAAAAACCTCTATTCTGCTAAAAGTTTTAAAGCCAATTTAAATCTAGGAGCTAAAAAGACACTTTGCTATATATATGCAATGACTTTTATTAATTATTTTCTGATTTAAAAAATGTTAATTACAAAAGCTACATAAAACACAGGAAAATACAAAGAAGAAAATAACCCACAATTTCATATCCTACTATCTCCTTCATTCTTTAACACAACTGAGCCACAATCATTCTCTTTTATTTAGTATTATTAACACATCCCCTCCCCACACAGGCATTTTCTATTAACATTTTTCACTCAAGAAACCATCTCTTATCTTTTGAAACATGACGCTCCCATCAGATATAATAGCCAAAGCTAGTTGGTTTCCCTACCCAATCAAATATACTTAAAGACTTTGGTCCATTTCTATTTTCACTAACTGTTACCATATTCAGACTTAACCTAAGTAAAGCTTACCTCAGGTAAGGAATTATCAAACATGAGGGGTAAGTCAAACTCATTTTTCTAAGTCTCTGTGATCATTTCTGCAATTCTTAATTATAATCTAAGTATCTAAGTCTTACATAAGCATCTAAGTTTCAGTACTTTTTTTTTTTTTTTTTTTTTGAGACAGAGTCTCGCTGTCGCCCCGGCTGGAGTGCAGTGGCGCGATCTCAGCTCACTGCAGGCTCCGCCCCCCCGGGGTTCACGCCATTCTCCTGCCTCAGCCTTCCGAGTAGCTGGGACTACAGGCACCCGCCACCTCGCCTGGCTAATTTTTTTGTATTTTTAGTAGAGATGGGGTTTCACCGTGTTAGCCAGTATGGTCCCCATCTGCTGACCTCGTGGTCCACCCACCTCGGCCTCCCAAAGTGGTGGGATTACAGGCGTGAGCCACAGCGCCCGGCCGTTTCACTTAGGATCCATCCAAAGAACTAATAGCAACAGACTTAATGAAAAAATGATAAAAGGCCGGATGCAGCGGCTCACATGTGTAATCCCAACACTTTGGGAGGCCAAGGCAGGCGTATCACTTAAGGTCAGGAGATGCAGACAACCCTGGCCAACATGGTGTAACCCCGTCTCTAATAGAAATACAAAAATTAGGTGGGCATAGTAGCAGGCACTTGCAATCCCAGCCACTTGGGAGGCTGAGACAGGAGAATCGTTTCAACCTCGGAGGTGGAGCTTGCAGTGAGTCAAGATCGCACCACTGCACTCCAGCCTGGGTGACAGAGCAAGACTCCATTACAAAAAAAAAAAAAAATTATATATATATATATATATATATATATATATATATATATATATATATATATATATATGACATTTTTCACAGAAATATAAAGATCAATCCTAAATGTACACAGACTCTCAAAGGACCCCAAATAGCCAAAACGATCCTGACAAAGAACAAAGCTGGAGGATTCACACTTACTGGCTGCAAAACGTACTACAAAGCTATAGTAATCAAAACAACATGGCCAGGTCAGGTAGCCCACACCTGTAATTCCAGCAACTTGAGAAGCCAAGGCAGGTGGATTGCTTGAGGTCAGGAGTTCGAGACCAGACAGGCCAACATGGAGAAACCCCACCTCTACTAAAAATACAAAAATTAGCCAGGCATGGTGGCACACAATGGTAATCCCAGCTACTCAGGAGGCTTAGACAGGAGAACTGCTTGAACCCGGAAGCAGAGGTTACAGTGAGCCAAGATCGTGCCATTGCACTCCAGCCTGGACAACAGAGCAAGACTCTGTCTCAAAACACAAAAGAAAACAAAACAAACCACTATGTGTACTAGCATAAAGACAGACATGGCTGGGCATGGTGGCTCATGCCAGTAATCCTAGCACTCTGGGAGGCTGAGGTGGGAGGATCACTTGAGCCCAAGAGTTTGAGACCAGCCTAGGCAACATGGTGAAACCCTGTTTCTACAAAAAATATAAAAATTAGCCTGGCATGGTGGTGCCTACCTCCAGTCCCACCTACTCAGGAGGCTGAGGTGAGGATGGCTTGAGCCCCGGAGGTGGAGGTTGCAGTGAAATGAGATTGCACCACTGCAGTCCAGCTTGAGCAACAAACAAGACCTTGTTTCAAAAAAATAAAATAAAAATAAAGACAGACATGTAGACCAATGGAATCAAACAGAGAGCCCAGGCCAGGCGTGGTGGCTCATGCCTACAAGCACTTTGGGAGGCAGAGGTGGGCGGATCACTTGAGGTCAGGAGTTCAAGACCAGCCTGGCCAACATGATGAAACCCCGTCTCTACTAAATTAAAAAAATATATATACATATATATACATATATATACACACACACACATATATATATAAGCTGGGTGTGGTGGTGCATGCCTGTCTGTAATCCCAGCTACTTGGGAGGCTGAGGCAGGAGAATTGCTTGAACCAGGGAGGTGGAGGTTGCAGTGAGCTGAGATCATGCCATTACACTCCAGCCTGGGCAACAGAGCTAGATTCTGCTCAAAAAAAAAAAGAACAGAGTGCCCAGAAATAAACCCTGGCATGTATGGTCTAATGATTTTTGACAAGGGTGCCAAGAACACTCAATGGGGAAAGGACAGTTTTTTCAACAAATGTTGCTGGGAAAACTGAATATCTACATGTAAAAGAATGAAGCTGGACTCTGACCTTAGATCATATACAAAAATTAACTCAAAATGGATCAAAGACCTAAATGTCAGAAACTAAAACTAGGCCAGGTATAGTGGCTCACAGTTGTAATACTCTGGGAGGCCAAGGCAGGAGGACTGCTGAAGCCAAGAAATTTGAGATTAGCCTGGGCAACATAGTTGAGACTCCACCTCTACAAAAATAAAAAATTAGGCCAGGCACGGTGGCTCACGCCTGTAATCCCAGCACTTTGGGAGGCTGAGGCGGGTGGATCACCTGAGGTCAGGAATTCAAGACCAGCCCAACCAACATGGCAAAACTCCGTCTCTACTAAATACAAAAAACTAGCCGGGCATGGTGACAGATGCCTGTAATCCCAGCTACTTGGGAGACTGAGGCAGGAGAACTGCTTGAACTCAGGAGGCGGAGGTTGCAATGAGCCGAGATTGTGCCATTGCACTCCAGCCTGGGCAACAAGAATGAAACTCTGTCTCAAAAAAATAAAAATAAATAAAAAATTAGCCAGGCATGGTGGCACATGCTTGTGGTCCCAGCTACTTGGAAGGCTGAGGCAGGATCACTTCAGTGCAGGAGGTAGAGGCTACAGCGAGCCATGACTGTACTCCAGCCTGGGCAACAAAGACCTCATTTCAAAAACAAAAAAAGAAAAGAAAGATACTAAAACCTACACTTATAGCTATAAAACCGTAACTAAGAAATGTAAAATCATAGAACTCCTAGAAAAAAACAGAAGGTAAGTTTCATGACATTGGATTTGGCAATGATTTCTTGAATATGACACAAAAGACATAGGCAACAAAAGTAAAAGCAGATAAATTAGACTGGACGAAATTTAGAACTTTTGTTCATCAAAAGACACTACTGACAGAGTAAAAAGACAACCCACAAAATGGAAGAACATATTTGCAATCATGTATCTAATAAGGGATTAATATCCAGAATATATAAATAATCCCTTAAACTCAACAATAAGAAAACAAACAACCCAATTCAAAAGTGAACAAAGGATTTGAATAGACATTTCTCCAAAGATATACAAATGCCAAATAAGTACATGAAAAGATGCTAAATACCACTAATCATTAGAGAAATGCAAATCAAAAGCACAATGAAATACCACTTCATATCCATCAGCATTGCTATTATGGGGGGGCGGGGGGAGGCAGAAAACAAGAGTTGGTGTGAATGTGGAGAATTTGGAACCCTTGTGCATTACTGGTAAAGATGTACAATGATGTCACCACTGTGGAAAACAGCATGGCAATCCCAAAAAACTAAACATGGATTTACCATTTGACCCAGCAATTCCAATTCTGGGTATATACAAAAAACAAATGAAAAAAGGAACTCAAATAGGTATTTGTACATCGATGTTCACAGCAACATTATTCACAACAGTCAAATGGTGGAAACAACCCAAGTGTCCATCCATGGATGAAATGATTCACAAAACATGGCATACAGATACGATGGAATATTATTCAACCTCAAAAAGGAAAGAAATTCTGACAGATGCTACAACGCGGTTGACCTGAAGACATGCTAAGTGAAATAACACTAAAGGATAAATAATGTATGATTCCATTTATATGGGGTACCTACAATAGACAAGCAAATAGAAACAGAAAATAGAATGGTGGTTACTAGGGGCTGCAGGGAGAGGGGAATGGGGAGTTATTGCTTAATGGATACAGAGTTTCAGTATAGAATGATGAAAAAGTTCTGAATGAAGGTGGACAGTGGAGATGATTGCAAAACAATGTAAATGTACTTAATGTCACTGAACTGTACACTTAAAAATGGTTAAAATGGTAAATTTTATCTTATATATATTTTACCACAATAAAAAAATTTCAAAAAAAAAAAAAACCTTCAATGCGCCGGTAAGACAATGCAACATGTTCTTAACATGGAATATAAAGCATTTTGGTCTCAATTTGCATTTCTAGGCCTTCCTCCAACCATTCCCTCCACCCTCTCCAATATTTTTGACAGACATCCACATTTAAACAGTCACCAGTCTCCAAATACTCTATGTGCCATTGGGTCTCCATGCCTTTAAATCATTTTGTCCCCTATGTGTATCCACCTGGTAAAACTAATCATCCTTCAAGTTACAGCTTAAAAGTCAAATATTCAGCGAACCCTTAATATCTTTCTTTTCCAACATAATGAAATGCTCCATTTAAATCATGATTAATACTATCACCTGTGCTCTGAATTCCATCCTTCTTTACCCACTCAGTAATAATCTCCTTCTCCTTAAACATTACACAATCTACTAGTCTGTGTTTTCATTAAGTAAGCCCTCTTAGCCCTCTTTTTTTTTTTTTTTTTTTTTTTGAGATGGGATCTCACTCCCTCTGTCACCCAGGTTGGCGTGGCGTGCAATTGAGTAATCTCTGCTCACTGCAATCTCCACCTCCCAGATACAAGCGCTCCTCCACCTAAGCCTCTCAAGTAGCTGGGACCACAGGCACGTGCCACCACGCCCAGCTAATTTTTTGTATTATTGGTAGAGATGGGGTTTCACTATGTTGCCCAGGCTGGTCTCAAACTCCTGAGCTCAGGAGATCCACCTTCCTTGGCCTCCCAAAGTACTAGGATTACAGGCGTGAGCCACCAAGCCTGGCACATTAAGTAAGCACTCTTCGCCTCTACACTAACAGCAACAACTATCATTTATTGAGTACCCACTATGGACCTGGCACCGTGCCAAGTGCTTTACAGATGTTATGTCATTTAATTCTCACAATATTACTCCCCAGATAGATACTACCAAAACCATTTTATACATAAGAATACTGAGGCTTACAGATGTTAAATATCGTCCTACAACTACAAGGTGGAACTGAGAATTAAATCTAGTTCTAACTCCAACCCGTATGCTCTTTCCACTCCATTTAAATCATTAATCAACAAATATTTATGGAACAACTATATGCCAGGTACTGTGCTAAGATGGGAAAAAAATAATGCATATAATCCCAGCCCTCATGGAGCTTACAGTCAAGAGAGAAAGATTAATTAAATGATTATTTAAATTAAAAAATTAAAACTGTGATAAGAACTTTACTCTGCCAAATTAAAAGAAAAAAAAAACTGTGTGCCAGTCTAGCTACTACCAATCTTCCCTTCTTTTCTGCACAATGAAGTTTCCTGAAAGTTGAGTCTATTCTCCTTTTATTTCCTTATCCCTTCTCACTCAAAACTATGTCTTTTTTAGTTCTAAAGCAGAAACTGTTCTTCCCAGGATTATCAAAACCTCCTTAGTTGCCAAATCTGACATTTTAAATTTTTATTTATTTTTTAATTGACAGGATTTTGCTACGTGGCCCAGTATGGACCCAAACCCCTGGGCTCAAGCAATCCTCCCACCTCAGCATCCTGAGTAGCTGAGACTACAGGCACCAAATCAGACATCTTTTAAGCTTTTAGATTATTTTTATCTATATTATCACATTTTCAACTACCATCTTGAAACTTTCCTTTCTTTTAGCTTCTCTAACACCTTTCTCTATTTTTCCTATTATTCTACTCATTCACCAATCTATTCACTGTTCTTCCTCTACTAGTCCCTTAAATGTTTGTATTCCTTGACATTCTGTCCTTACTCATTTGGTGACCTCATCCACAACTATGATTTCAACTGCTGAAGTTTACCAAACCTGAATCTCCAACTGCTAATATAAGTTCCAGATCCTTATATTCAAATGACTGTGGGACATCTCTACTTGAAATGTTCTGTAAGTGTCTCAAACTCAGAATGTTATGAAACATTTTTTATTTCTGCTAAGTAAATGGCACCACAAACTATGATAACATATCAAATCAGACACCTTATGATCATTCAAGACATCCTAGGCCTGTACTCCCACAATTCTACATCCTGAATCTCTCTTAAAACTCAATTCCATTCTCACTAACTACTACTTCAGGTCAGTGTTCATCACAGCTTAACTAGATTATTATGAAAGGCTAACTGGTCTCCCCAAACAGACCCTTCTCAGGCTTCTTTCACAGAAGCCAGGGTGAGTGACCTTGCAAAAATACATGTTATGGCCAGGTGCACTGTTTCACACCTGTAATCCCCGCACTTTGGGAGGCTGACGCGGGTGGATCAGGAGGTCAGGAGTTTGAGACCAGCCTGGCCAACATGGTGAAACCCCGTCTCTACTAAAAATACAAAAATTAGCCAGGCGTGGTGGCATGCACTTGTAATCCCAGCTACTCGGGAGGCTGAAGCAGAAGAACTGCTTGAACCCAGGAGGTGGAGGTTGTAGTGAGATGAGATAGCGCCACTGCACTTCAGTCTGGGCGATAGAGCAAGACTCTATCTTGAAAAAAAACAAACATGTTATTAAACTCCATAATGCTCAAAATAAAAACCAAATACTATAACACAGAACACAAATGCAAAATCAAAACTATCTATCAAGCAATAACTCCCCATTTTCCCCTCCTCCAAACCTATGGCAAGCACTATTCTGTCTCTGATTCTGACTACTCTAAAAACCTCATGTAAGTGGAATCACACACTATTTTTCGTTTTCTAAAAGGCTTATTTAACTTAGCATAATTTCCCAAGGTTCATCCATGTTGTTGCATAATGCAGAATTTCCATCCTTTTTAAGGCTGAGTAATATTCCATTGTATGAATACTGTACATTTTGCTTATCTATTCATCCATCAATGGATATCTGAATTGCTTCCACATACTAGCTATTGTGAATAATGTTGCCATGAACCTGGTTGTATAAATATCTCTTTGAAACCCTGCTTTCAATTCTTTCAAGTGTATACCCAGAAGTGAAATTACTGGATCATACTGTAGTTCTATTTTTAATTTGTTGAAGAACCACCGTACTCTTTTCCATGGCAGCTACACTACTTTCATACCTGTCTTTTTTCCTAATCTTGGGGGGACAGCATTCAGTCTTTCATACTTAAGTATGATGATAACTGTTAGTTTTTTGTAGATTTTTTTTAACAGGGTCTCATTATATTGCCCAGGCTGATCTCAAACTCCTAGGTTCAAACAACCAAAGGAGCTGGGACTAACACACCCAGCTTTGTAGATGTCTTTATCATGTTATAGAAGTCGTCTTCTACTCCTAGTTTGCTTAGACTTTTTTTTTTTTTTTTTTTTTGAGACAGAGTATCACTCTGCCACCCAGGCTGGAGTGCAGTGGCGCCATCTCAGCTCACTGCAACCTCTACCTCTGGGATTCAAGCGATTCTCCTGCCTCAGCCTCTCGAGTAGCTGGAATTACAGGTGTGGGTCACCAAGCCCGGCTAATTTTCGTATTTTTAGTGGAGAGGGGGTTTCGCCACATTGGCCAGGCTGGTCTCGAATTCCCAACCTCAGGTGATCTGCCTACCTCAGCCTCCCAAAGTGCTGGGATTACAGGCATGATCCACCGCACCTGGCTGTGCTTAGACTTTTTATCAAAGCATTTTTGAAAACGCTTTTTCAGCATCTACTGAGATAATCACATAGTTTTCTCTGTTTGCTAACATGGTAAATCACAATGAGCGGGGTTTTTTTTGTTTTTGTTGTTTTTTGAGATGAAGTCTTGCTCTGTTGCCCAGGCTGGAGTGCAGTGGCACGATCTGAGCTTACTGCAACCTCAACTTTCTGGGTTCAGCCTCCCAAGTAGCTGGGATTTCAGGCATGAGCCACGATGCCCAGCTAATTTTTGTATTTTTAGTAGAGACGGGGTTCACCATGTTGGCCAGGCTGGTCTCGAACTCCTAACCTCAGGTGATCCGCCCTCCTCAGCCTCCCAAAGTGCTAGGATTACAGGCCTGAGCTACTGCGCCTGGCCAATGAGGGATTTTTTAATGTAAAACTAACACTGCACTCCTGGAATAAAGCCCCACTTGATCATGACACATTCATTCCTCTAATATGCTGTTGGATTCAATTGGCTAAAGTTATATTTAGAATTTCTGCATCTATGTTCATGAGGAGTTTTGGCCTAAAGTTTTCTTTCTTTTTTTTTCTCCCGTCGGAGTCAACAAGTTAAGAATAAAGTTTTCCTTTATTGCAATATGTCTCTGGTTTGAATATCAGAGTTACGTGGACCTCATATTCACAGACTGAACTGGGAAGTATTTCTCCTCTTCAGTGTTCTGGAAAAATTTGTACAGAACAAGTACATGTATATTGATCAATTATCCAGAGCTCATTAACTTTTTTCTTTTTGTTTAATTTTTTCTTTCTGTGTTTCACTCTGGTGGTTTCCACTGCTTATCTTCAAGAGTTCACTAACCTTTTCTTTTGCAATGTTTGATGTACTATTATTCCTACCCAATATAGTTTTAATCTTAGATGTCGTAGTTTTCGTTTCTAATAGTCCTGTTCATATCTTTTTTATATTTTCCATGTCTCTACTTCATCTCTGAAACATCAAGAATACAGTTATATTAACTGTCTTACTGTCCTTCTCTGCTAATCCTAACAAAGGCGTCAGTTCAAGGTCAGTTATTATAGCTGACTTTTCTCTTCATCATGATTTGTATTTTCCTGCCTCTTTGCATACCTGATAATCTTTGACTAAATGCTACATTATGTGAACTTTTTTCAGTGATGAGTATTTTTGTATTTCTGTAATATTCCTAAGCTTTGTTCTGTAATGACATTAAATACTTGGAAACCATTTATCATTTTGAATGTTGCCTTTAAAATATTTTATGTAGGACCAGACCACATTTAGTTTAGGGCTAAATATCCCTACTACTGAAACAAGATTCTTCTGAGTACTCTACCCAGTGTCCCATGAAGCACGAGGCTTTCCAGTCTGGATAGGAAGAAGTCCTGTATGAGCACCAATCACTGGTCTAATTTCCTCTGACAATTCTTTCCCTGGGTTCAGGAAGCTTTTTCATATGCATGCACCAATCAGCATTGTGCTGAATACTTTAAGAGGATCATCCACAGTTCTCTGGATTTCTTTTTGTGCAGTTTTCTCATTTTAGTTACACTGTCCTGTGAATTTTAGCTATCTTGGACTTAGTGCACTCTAAGGTCTCTCTCTTCAACTGTGAGAGTCCACTGGGTTCCCTTCCCTATAGTGCAACCTAGAAACTCTCAAGCTGGAGCCAACATTGGGCTCAGGCCATTTGTTTTTCATTCATTGACTCTGTCGCCTGAAAACCACTGCTTCATATTTCTGTATTTTTTTTTTGTTTGTCATTTCAAGGGAAAAGTAAATCCACTGTTACTCTAACTTCACCAAAAGTATACGTCCTATATGGCTGCATTCAAGTTTGCTTTCTTTTTGTTCATTTCTATAATGTTCTAAAGTTTCCCTATACGGGCTGAGCATCCCTAATCTGAAAATCCAAAATGTGAAATGCTCCAAAATCTGAAGCTTTTAGAACACCAACATGATGCTCAAAGGAAATGCTCATTAAAGTATAATGCAAATATTCCAAAATCTGAAAAAATCCAAAATACTTTGGTCCCAAGCATTTAGGATAAGGTATACTCAATCTGTAATGTGTATAGGTATAGTTTTCCTTTTTCTTTTTTTTGTGATAGAGTCTCGCTCCCTCGCCCAGACTAAAGTGAAGTGGTGTGACCTTGGCTCACTGCAGCCTCCACCTCATGAGTTCAAACAATTCTTATACCTCAGCCTCCCAAGAAGCTGGGATTACAGGCACATGCCACCATGCCCAGCTAATTTTTATGTATTTTTAGTAGAAACAGGGTTTTGCCACGTTGCCCAGGCTGGTCTCAAACTCCTGGGCTCAAGCAACTCACCTGCCTCAGCCTCCCAAAGTGCTGGGATTACAGACCTTAGCCACTGCACCCAGCCTAGGTATGATTTTCTTTTTAAGTTTCTTGCTTGCCCAGGTGAAACCCCGTCTCTATTAAAAATACAAAAATCAGCCAGGCATGGTATGCCTGTAATCCTAGCTACCTGGGAGGCTGAGGCAGGGTAATCGCTTAAACCTGGGAGGCAGAGGTTACAGTGAGCCAAGATTGCACCACTGAACTCCAGCCTGGAAGACAGAGTGAGACTCTGTCTCCAAAAAAAAAAAAAAAAAGGTTTCTTGCTTGCAAGCCCGAGCTTCCTGGAACTAATGATAGGCATCTTCTGACATTTCTGGAAAATTCCTAATTATTATCACCTAAACTACTCCCTTGTCCCTGTTCTATCTGCTTCAGTTCATTTGTTGTTTTCAAGAAAACTATGTTGAGCACCTACTGTTGTCAGACACTGTCCTAAGGAACTCAGAAACAAAAATAACTAAATATGCCTTCTAGAACACTGCATATTGAAGTCTAGAAGGGAAGAGAAGGTAGACAGCCAGAATACAATGTGTTAGATTTTCTGATCAAAATATGTGGAAGTTGTTATGGGGGCACAGAGAAGGAGTATCCAACCCAGACTTGCTGAGAGGGTCAGGTAGAATATTTCTTAAAGAAGATACATGAGCTAAGACCTAGAGATAAGAGGTTACACAGTATTATTACTGCTGTTGTAACTTTAAAAAGAAAAAATTAAATAGCTAATTTACTAATACATTTTTAAAAGCCCTCTATTCATATCTATGTCTATGGGATATTTCAATAGAAATAACTGAAAAATTACAAATTCCCGAAGCTTATAAGTTTCTTAATTGTCTGCACTTCTCCAGCTTCACATCACATCATTTTCCCCCAGCTCTCTTTGTTCCAATCATACTAGACTTAAAGTTACTCATATGCCATGCCTTTTCCTGCCTAAAGACTTTTAATTCATGCTGCTTTTTGTGTAAAATGCTCTCCCACTTACCCTTCTAGGCCACTCACCTTTTTGCCATTTAAACTACTACTTCATTCAAAAGTCACTTTCTCAGAGAAACCTCCCCTGTTCTAGATCAAGTAAAATATCTTCATACACCTCCTTAGCACAATCTTCCCCCCCTAACAAGACTCATTATATTTAAATCTTTATTCAACGCATGCCCTCATCAATTCTTAGAAAATCTGAGGGCAGGAACCACAACTATCTTATTCACCACTGCCTAGAAGTAGCACACAAGAACTCAATAAACATCAGTTGGATGGACTAATTGTACCTAACAGCTCTAAACTTAGGAATCAACATTCTAAAGGATGAGCAAACCGGTCTCAACAAGGTTCCTTCCTGATTATCTCAGATAAGGAAGGCAACAATTGCTTCCAAAGCTATCACTTCAGTTACCAATATAAGATTGGACAAATATTTCATTTTTAGTTTCACAAATAAAAAATATTCAATATGGTTTTACAACTTGAAAAATAAATAAAAGTATTTTTTAAAAAGAACTTACCAAAATATTTTTCTTATGTCGTTTCTCCTTTATATGTTTATGAGCCCCCTGGATATTTTCAATGTGAATTAAGCAAAGTTTGCATAGATACCGACAATTGGTATATTCTGGTGATCGCTGAAGAGACAAATTTTAAAAATGCACTTTATTCAGAAAACAGAGGAGTAAACTATTGACTATATAAGTGAATAATACAATTATGTAAGTAGACAGAAATAAGCACTGAAGGTTTTTTCTTTATCCTTTCCTTCTTCTAAAGTAATAGTTTTTAATAAACTTATATACTGAAGAGATAGTAGTCCTTTTTCAAAATAGTTATCATAGGAGATTACATACTAACTTTAATACGATATCTAACAATATCATGGTAATGCTAAATTATGTTTAATATTCACCTACTATCATCTTTAGAATCCAATGTAAGAAAAGCAGTCGGGCTGAGTGTGGTGGCTATGCCTGTAATCCCAGCACTTTGGGAGGACGACGCTGGCAGATCACTTGAGCTCAGGAGTTGAAGACAAGACTGGACAACATGGAGAAACCCATTCTCTACTAAAAATACAAAATTTAGCCGTGCATGGTGGCGCAGGCTTGTAATCCCAGCTACTCTGGTGGCTGAGGTGGAAGAATTGTCTCAGCCTAGAAGGCAGAGTTTGCAGCAGCGAGCCGAGATCGCATCACTGCACTCAAGCCTGGGCAACAGAGCAAGACTTCGTATTAACAAAAAAAAAAAAAAAAAAAAAAAAGAAAAGTGGTCTTGCTATTTAGTCTTATTCCAATGTTGTCCCCAAAACTGATTTCAAATTTAACTTGCAGCCATTTTGATTACCATAAAAAAATAAAATCTGCCCTCGAATTGGGGATTTCAAAAGAATGGGCCACAAACATGTAAGAAATTTCAAAAGTTGAGTTCGAAAAACACTCCAATCACAGTATCATGGGGATAAATGAATAACCTCTTGAGGTCACAACTGAAGGGAATAACAATTCTAACACACTAAACTATCAGTCACAGAACGTCACTCATACTTCGTGTATGTATTCTCAAAATACTAATAAAACTTAGTAATTACTGAATACTTGTTATGTGCCAGGCACTATGCTAGGTGTTTAACATACAATTTGTCATTTTAATTCCCCTAATCATCTGATTAAATTGACATTATTTTCATCTTATAGATGTGAAAACAAAAGCCCATAGAACCTGCACCTTTTACAAGGATATAGCAAGTATTAAGTGGAAGACACTGAATTTAAATTCCTGTACACCTGAATCTGAAGTCAACATTCTACGCAGATTACACAATAAAAAATTACAAACACACAATAAATACATGTGGAATTTTAAAAGTTTCTAATGCCTTACACTGAAACTTTAGCAATGCTTAGTTTTTATTTCAGATTGATTTATGATATTCAACAGGCTTCAGCTTCTGACAAAAAGATTCTTTCACCTCAGAAAATTACATAATTTCTTTTAAATGAGAAACTTGCTCCAAATTTAGCAACAATCCTGCTACAGACTAAAAATAAATATAGCCATCCCTTATAGAGTATTAACCTTTCAACAACCCTATCAGAACTCCCCATTTTATTGGCAAACTAAATCTCAGGGATTAATTTGCCCAAGGCAACAAGTAAATAAGAAAAGTTGGCTCAATCTAGTTATTTCAATTCTCTAGCATAAAAATTCTGTCAAATCAGTTCCTACTGGAGAATGAATTAAGTCCTCAAAGAAAACGCTACCTCTTAGTTTCAAAACAACTACTTCTTTACTCATCAAATATATTGAGCTCATATTATACAGCAAACATTTTTCTAGGAGCTGGGGATAAGAGCAGTAAATAAAATAGAAATCCCTGTCTATATGAATTTACGTTACAGTGTAAGGAGACAGGTAATAAACAAATGCACAAATATGCCTGGGGTCGGGGGAGTTACTGCTTTTTAAAAGTAGAGACATCACTTAAGACCTTATTGATAAAGTAACTTTAAGGAAGTGAAGGATTAAGCTGTGTGGATATCTGAAAAGACACATTTCAAGCAGAGGGAAAAGTGAATGCCAAGGCCCTGAGGCAGGAAGGTACCTAAAATATTTGAGAAACTACAAAAAAGTTAGCATAACTGGGAACAGAGAGCTAATAGGGGACAGATCACAAAATCCCTTGTGAAGACTCTGGCTTTTATTCTAAGTATGAGGGAAAGCCATTGAAGGTTTATGAGCAGAGAATTACAAGATCTAATTTATATTTTAAAAGGATCATTTGCTTTCTATATTGAGAATAGAAGCAGGAAAGGCTATTGCAGTTAACAGCATAATTCAATAATCCAAAAAAGAGATTATGTTGGCTTAGTTCAAGGTGAGAGTGGTGAAGGTGGTAAAAAGAGTTGCTTTCAGGAGTTGAAAGCATACATACAGAATACCTAAAGCCCTGTGTACTGATGAGGTCACTAAGGAAGTCATGAAATCAATCATATAAACTTTTCAATTGTAAAATGTTAGCAGACCAAAGACAAGTCTACCAAGAAAATCTTGGTATTACACAGAATGGGGAGTCAGAAGGCATCAGAGGACATCTCAACTGACCTTGGATAAAGCTGTATCACTACAGCCTGATTCTATCTCCTTATTTATAATAGAAAACTGCCCCACCTGGTAAAAATAATTCAGTTCTACAAGTAGCTCATCTTTATTTCTTACTACATACCAGGACTTGTGCTAAAAACTTTACTTGTATTATCTTATTTAATCCTCATAATAGTCCTATGAGCTAGGTGTTATAATTGTTATCAATCCCATTTTACTGATGAGTAAACTGATGTTTAAAGAATTTAAATAATTTATCCAAGGTTATCCAACCAATAAGTGGCAGAGCTAGACCCAATGACTCCAAAATCCACGCACTTGACCACTGTGCACAGTCTAATTACCAACCAACCACTTCGTGCAAGGCACATATTGGGCACAACATCAAATCAGACAAAACTGCTCTCATCATCATAAACTTTCTAGTTTCACAGAAAAAAAATACATAAAAAAAGTTAAACACTGTTTATTATATTTTATTCTACTGTTAAATAAACCAACTAGTAAATCTTTACCTTTCTGCAAACAAGCTAGAACAAAGATTTCTGGGTATTTCCAACTCAATATTTAACATTCAACCATAGGAAAATTTAGCCTTCTGATCTAATGGTTTGGACTTATTTCTTCTTTGGTACAGAGCAAAAGTCTACAGTCTACATCTTTATTCCTCAATTAGATAATCTATGGAAACACTGAACTAAAGGACCTGAAGAAATAAAAAAAAAACAAAAACCTGGGAATATTCTTAATGAGTGTCTAAATTTGATAAAGAAAAATGTTACTTAAGAGGACAAGCCAGTTGTGGTAGCGCATGCCTGTAGTCCTAGCTACCTGGGAGGCTGAGGCATGAGAATCACTTGAAACTGGGAGGCAGAGGTTGCAGTGAGCCGAGACCGCGCCACTGCACTCCAGCCTGGGAGACAGAATGAGACCCTGTCTCAAAAAAAAAAAAAAAAGTACAATGAATTTGCCCGAGCACTGTGGCTCACACCTGTAAACTCAGCACGTTGGGAGGCCGAGACCAGTCCGGGCAACCTGGCAAAACACCATCTCTAAAAAAATACAAAAAACTAGCAGGCTTGGTGGCACATGCCTGTAGTCCCAAGCTACTCGGGAGACTTAGGTACCTGAGCCTGGGAGGTCAAGGCTGCAATGAGCCATTACTGAACCACTGCAATTCAGCCTGGGCAACCAGAATGAGACCCTGTCTCAAAAAAAAAAAAAAAAAAAAAGTACAATGAATTGTACCAAGTTCAAGAGGCCAAATAATTTAAAAAAAAAAAAGAGTACAATGAATTGAAAATAAGTTTGGAGGGCATGAGAAATAAAGAGGTAGAAAGAAAAGGGATTACAAATATCTACGCTGGTACTGGCACAGTAACTTTACATCATTACTGACTATATAAATTGAACAACAAATAAAATGTTTTCCAATGCTTCCAAGCTTTATTTTCACCCCAGGCCATTTTTCCTACTACCATCAAATACCTATTGCATCCCAACTTCTTCCTTCTTTCAATAACAACTGACCTTTCCTGCTTCACTCCTATGTAACTTCCCAACCAGTTCTCTGCTTATTTTCTTATTTGCTTATGTGTCTTTCTCTAGTGAACTCCTAGAAAAGCAATCACGTTTTTTAAAACGTCAGGTACTAGATCATGGCACATAAAAGGCACTCAATATTTATTCTGACAATGGACAAAATTATAACACCTAGCGCATAGGGCTGTTATGAGGATTAAATAACACAAGTAAAGTTTTTGGCACAAAATCTGCTATGTATTAAGTACTAAATAAAGATGAACAGAATTGAATTATTTTACCAGGTAGGTCAATCTTTATTATATTATAAATAAGGAGATAGAATCAGGTTCCAGTGATAGAGATTTATCCAAGGTCAGTTGAGATGTCATCCAGAAATTTACTAATTCCAGAGGAAAAGTGAAAGAACTAAGTAAAGACATAACTAAGTAAAAGGCCGGGCACGGTGGCTCCTGCCTATAATCACAGCACTTTGGGAGGCCAGGGTGGGTGGATCATTTGAGGTCAGGAGTTCGAGACCAAACTGGCCAATATAGTGAAACCCCGTCTCTACTAAAAATACAAGAATTAGCCAGGCATGGTGGCGCACAATTGTAATACCAGCTACTTAAGAGGCTGAGGCAGGAGAATTGCTTGAACCCAGGAGGTAGAGGTTGCAGTGAGCTGAGATCATGCCAATGTACTCCAACCTGGGCAACAGAGCGAGACTCTGTCTCAAAAAACAAAACAAAACAAAAAGTATAAGAGCAAATTGCAAAAAAGACTTCCTTTTAACTAGGATCTTGTAATACTAACTATACAACCCAAACTCTCTCCTGTATTATGGTCCTCTACTTCTTGATATTCCTTTCTCTTTTCATGTGGCGACTACTCTGCTGTAAGTTCTATTAATAACCCAGGATTGTCTTGTTCAATCTAGATATAATTTCATTTTTCTAAACTATACAAAATCATACCATTTCTTTCCTTATTTATCAAGAATGATGACCTATTTCCTTGTAAGCATATTTACAAATAACCCAAGTATCTGTTTGTCAATAGTTTTATTTGTGATTTTTTTTTTTTTTTTTTGAGATGGAGTCTTGCTCTGTCGCCCAGGCTGGTGTGCAGTGGCACAATCTTGGCTCACCGCAACCTCTGCCCCCTGGGTTCAAGCAATTCTCCTGCCTCAGCCTCCCAAGTAGCTGGGACTACAGGTACCGACTACCACACCTCGCTAATTTTTGTATTTTTAGTAGAGACGGGGTTTCACCATGTTGGTCAGGCTGGTCTCGAATTCCTGACCTCAAGCAACCTGCCCACCTCGGCTTCCCAAAATGCTGGGATTACAGGCGTGAGCCACTGGGCCTGGCCGTGATTTGTGATTCTTTCCTTCAAAACCTAGCAGTGTTTTTATTGAGGCCAGGAATGTGTATTTCTAGATTAAGAAATTAATACACAGGAATAAGATACCAATGGCTAGGATAGTTCCTATTACGCAGTTAATGTTCAATAAATACAGGTTCAATAAATAAAATGCTATTTTATTTCCATCAATCTGAATGGACTTTTAACTTCTAATGGGAAGAAACTGCCATTTTCACCAATACATCCCCAGTGCCTATCAGAATACCTGGCACAAAACAAGTGCTCAGTGTCTATTTGATGAGTGCCTAAATCAGAGGTCAGCAAGTTTCGTCTATAAAGGGGCGAATAAATATTTTGGTAGACATTTTATGCTTTGGCAAAGACTAAATATTTTATGCTTTTCAAGCCATATAAGCTCTGTGACAACTACTCAACTCAAATTTCCCATCGTAGCATGAAAGTAGCCATAAACGACATGTAAACAAATAGGCATGGCTATATTCCAATAAAATGTTTACCAAAAACGGTGGGGAGACTAGGTGTATTTTAACCCATTCAAAAACAAAAGCAAGGGATAGACCATAGTTTGCCAACTCTTGGGATGAATGAAGTCAGACTCACAGATAATAAGTAACTGCTGAAAAAGAGAGGCAAGGAAGAAAAGAGGGAAAGAAGAAGAAAGGTAGAGAAGAGGGAAGTAAGGAAAGATGAATGCAACCTCTGTCTTATGAATAAAAGAAAAATAAAAAAAGCTGTACTTGGGGAAAACAGTTATGAAACACACATTTCCCCCCAAATAACTAAAACAACATAGTATACTTTTTCAAGTCGAAAGATGTGATCTCTTTCTAAGCGTTCTTCTGCTTGTTTCAACCCCAGCCTCTGCTCAGGTGTCAATGCAGATTCATCTATCACAGTGGCATTTTCTAAGTAGTCCATCTCTGAAGAATTTTCTTTATTAGATTCATCATTCTTCATTTTACCTAGAAAAGAAAGCAATCACTCAGTTATCATCAGAACTGGTAAATTTTTAAATTTTTTAATGGAAAACAGACATTAAATTTATACACAGAAAAAATATTATTTCCTTATATTTTCCTTAGGAAAGTATACAAGTTGGTATGCATATATAAAATATAGGTAAGAGGTAGACATGGTATCCAAAGTCACAAAGAAAAACCTTTATGGGTCAAATGACTAGCTTGTTCTTCCAATCTATCCATCAAGAGATACATAACTGAGACTTACATTACACAAAGCTAATTACACAAAGCTAATATAACATAATCATCTTGGAGAATCTCTGAAGTCAATCTGATAAAAAAACTGTTTGGAGTCCCACTCAAAGAAGATTAGTCACTGAACTAAATTCACTAGCAATTAAAACAACATATGTATACTCCAGACCACAAACCCACACAAGGCTCCTTCTTCTTTCCTTCCACAGAACTCCTGGATATCTCCACTACATTAATGGTTTTCCTTTGCTTCTCTGCCTCCTAACTAGATTGTAATCTCTTTGAGGCACAGACTATGTTTTCACCTTTGCATCTGCAGCATCTAGCAGTATGTATCTAACCTACAGTAGGTTCTCCCACCAGCGCGATTTTTAAAATATAAACCAAATCACCTTATTCTCTTGCTTAAAACACATAAATGGCTTTTGAAGAGTTCAGAATAAAGTTTTAACTCCCTAGCATATTACGCACAGTCCCTTGACCTCATGAAGGCAGTAAACAGAATAATTCCAAGTTGTAATAAATGTTACAAAGGAAAAAAGCAAGGAACTGAGAGGGAGACCAACTTTAGATATGGGAGCCAGAGAAGGCTTCTCTGAGGAGTTATCATTTAAGCCAAAACCTAAAGAAAAAAATCTAGCTAACTTACCTGTAACTCCAACCTCAGATCTTGCCACGACACTTTTCACTTCATATTAAATGTGCCAGAATTAATCACCAAAGCTGCTTCAAGTCTCAATATCTTTACATATGCTACTCCCTTCTCCATTGATGCTCCCCCATTAATATTTACCTGTCCTTCAAAATTCAGCTTAAGCACCACTTGTTTCCATAAGCCAGTCTGACATTCTCTTGTTCTATTACCCTCTATTATCTCACATTTACAGAGTAATGGAATTTGTATTCATGTATCTGTCCCCTACATTAGATGACGGATTTCTTGATGCTAATGACCGGGGTCTTACTTTTACCTTCAGATTTTAATACAATGCCTAGATCTGAGCTAATGCTCTGTGTCATGTTGAATAAATAAATGAATCTGGATGTATCTACAAGTATTTCAAAAAAGAAATGCTCATAGATCATCAACAAATCTCTCCATTCTGTCCTCAAAAGCCTGTCCTCAAAATTGCATGGCATTCTGTCCTCAAAATTGCATGGCATCTAGAGGAACCCTGACAGTCAAGCCTACCTTTTGATAGCACTAATTTTCTGAACAAAGAAATGGTATGCCTCTGGAGATGGTGCATTTCCTACCACAAGAGCACAGGAGTTTCTAGACTAGGAAGGCAAACTCAGATAAGGATGTTATAAAAAGGACTCAAACATGAGAAGTATGGCTAGGTTACATAAGTGTTTCTTAAATTACAGTTGGAGGAATATTGATGCACTATAAGCAACTTGCAATTATGTACTAATATTTGGAAAAATGATTTAGTTTTTTAGTAACCATTTTATTATGGAAATGTAGAAGAAAAGATGAAATCCTAGTATTATTTCTACTTTTCATGAAAAAGGATGGTAAGAAGACAATCTAATAATGTAACCTTCTTCTCTTTTCCATATTTATAACTGGCCTTGTGTGACAAGGTAACCAACATCAGCAAATCTTGTAAAAGTATCGTTTCTGCTAACACAAAGAATTAGAGAAAGCTGCCTTTCTTCAAAAGTCAGAAATATATGAAATTATTTAATTTTCTGGAATCAACATATAAAACAAAATAATACCAGGCAGAACGTCCTAAATTGTGTTCCAAAAACAATAGTTCATTACATGTTAATACTCTCACAAAACAAGAATTGAAAACCTGTATCCACACAAATACTTGTACATGAATGTTCATAGAATATTCACAATAGCCAAAGATGGAAACAATCCAAAAACCCATTTCTGATGAATGGATAAACAAAATGTGGCATTGGTATACAATGGAATATTATTCAGGTGTCATAGTCAGCTCAGGCTGCCACAACAAAATACTACAGACTGGGTGGCTTAAACAACAGAAATTTATTTTCTCATAGTTCTGGAGACTGGAAAGTCAAAGATCAAGGTGTCAGCAAGGTCACTGTCTGGTGAGGGCTCTCTCCTGGGTTGCAAACAGCCACCTTCTTGCTGTGTGTTCACATGGCCTTTCCTTATAGGACAGAGGTTCTCTCTTCTCCTTTTTTATAAGGCCAGATTAGGACCTCACCATTATGACCTCATTTAACCTTAATTACCACCTCAAAGCCCTGTTTCCAAATACAATTATGTTGGAGGTTAGGGCCTCAACATATGAATTTGGGAGGGGACATAATCCAGTCCATAACAACAGCCTTAAAAAGGAATGAGGTACTGATACACGTTACAACATGGATAAACCTTAAAAACATGACACTAAATGAAAGCCAGACACAGAAGACCACATATTGTATGATTTCATTTCTATGAAATATTTAGAATAGGCAAATACATAGAAACAGAAAGTGTATTAGTAGTTGCCAGAGGCTGGGGAAAGTGGGGAATGGGGAGTAACTCTTAATGGGCATGGGGTTTCCTTTTGGGATGATGAAATTAGACACTAGTTATGACTGTGCAACACTGTGAATGTACTTAGTGTCACTGAATTGTATACTTTAAAATGGTTAAGATGGTAAAATCTTACATGTATTTATCACCAAAAAACTTAAATATAGAGTTAGCATACAACTAGCAATTCCATTTCTAAATATATATACTGAAAAAATGAAAACATACATCCACACAAAAACTTTTACACAAATGTTCAGAACAGCATTATTCAGAATAATCAAAAGATGGAAACAATCCAAATATCCATCAACTGATGAATGGACAAACAAAATGTAATATATCCATATAATGCAATACTATTCGGCAATAAAAGGGAATGACGTACTAATACATGCCATAACATGAATTAACTTTGAAAAAAATATGCTAAGCCAAATAAGGCAGGCACAACAGGCCACATATTGTATTATTTCATTTATATAAAATAGGTACATCTAAAGAGAAAGAAAGTAGATTCATGGTTGTCAGTGGGGAGGAGGAGCGGGTAATGAATAGTGACTGCTAATGGGTATGGAGTTTCTTTGTAGAGTGATGAAAATGTTCAGAATTAGATAGTGATGGCAGCGCAATTTTGTGAATATAATAAAAACTACTGAACACTTAATACTTAGATTTTTAGTAAAATATTCTTTTTTTTTTTTTGAGACGGAGTTTCGCTCTTGTTGCCCAGACTGGAGTGCAGTGGTGCAATCTCGGCTCACTGCAACCTCTGCCTCCCAGGTTCAAGCGATTCTCCTGCCTCAGCCTCCCAAGAAGCTGGGATTACAGGCATGCGCCACCACGCCCAGCTAATTTTGTATTTTTAGTAGAGACGGGGTTTCGCCATGTTGGCCAAGCTGTTTTCGAACCCCTGACCACAGGTGATCCACTCGCCTCTGCCTCCCAAAGTGCTGGGATTACAGGCGCGAGCCACTGCACCTGGCCTTGAATACTTAGATTTTTTAAATAAAAAAAATTGACCCAACAGCAAGACAGAAGTATATACTTTAAAAGGATGAATTTTATGACATATAAATCCCAGCTACTTGGGAGGCTGAGGCAGGAGAATTGCTTGAACCCGGGAGGCGGTGGTTGAAGTGAGCTGAGATCACGCCACTGCACTCCAGCCTGGGCATCAGAGTGAGACCCTATCTCAAAAAAAGAAGGCAAAGGAAGTTTAAGAGAGCTAGCCATATGGACATTTGGGGAATGAGTGTTTGACGCAGAGGAAAAAGCAAATGCAAAGTTCCTCATATGGATATCTATCTTCTCAGTTGAGGAAATTCAAGAAAACTATGCGGATGGAGCAGAGAGAAAGGGTGAGAAGTAAACAAATGAGGGCAAGGCAGAGAAATAGGGGAGTGTCACAGATCGTGTAAGGCTCTACTAGCCACTGTAAGAACACTAGCTTTTACTCTGATGGATGGAAAGCCACTGAAACACTCTAAATACTAGTAATGTGATCTGACTCATTTTAACAGGATCATTCTGCTTACTATACTGAAAACACAATGAAGGGTGATGTAAGTGAAAGTAAGATGAGTTGGTGCAGGCTGCTTGAAAGCATTATCTTGACCAGCAGCATCAGCATCACTTGGGAGCTTATTAGAAATCCAATTTATCAGGCCTTATCCTAGGCTTTCTGAATCAAAACACTCTGGAAATGAGACCCAAGACTCTGCATTTTAATATGAATCCCAAACAATTCATATACACATTAAAGTTTGAGAAACCCAGATCAAGAACACTCTCTCCTCAAATATTCACCTGGCTGGTTCACCTCTTTCCTTCAAGTATTTGCTCTAATGTCACTTTCTCATTGACACTTTAACTCCACCAATACCAACAGTAGCATCATTCCCTATGTCGTTCCTATTTCATTTTTCTCAAAGGATTTAAAACCACCTTACTTAACTTACTCTCTATATTTTATTTTCTTTTTTTTTGAGATGGAGTTTCGCTCTTGGTGTCCAAGCTGGGGTGCAATGACGCGATCTCAGCTCACTGCAACCTCCGCCTCCCAGGTTCAAGCAATTCTCCTGCCTCAGCCTCCCGAGTAGCTGGTGCTACAGGCACACGCCACCATACCTGGCTAGTTTTTTGTATTTTTAGTAGAAACGGGATTTCACCATGTTAGCCAGGCTGGTCTTGAACTCCTGACCTCAGGTGATCCGCCTGCCTCGGCCTCCCAAAGTGCTGGGATTACAGGCGTGAGCCACCGTGCCCGGCCAACTTACTACATATTTTTCTTATTTATTGTGTTTGTTATCTGTTTCATCCCACTAGAAGATTAACTCCATAAGAGTGGAATTATCGGTTCCATCACTTATATATTCCTAATGACTAGTTCAGTTCCTGGCATGTAGTGGACACCAAAAAACAAAATTTTATTGAATGAATGAATAAATGACAAAAAGAAAAATGATGTGCCAGGTGGGAGCTGAAGTTAGGCCTAATGGAGAAGACTGAGATCAATCAAATTTCTATATAACCTATCAAGTCCAAATAGATAATGATCTAGCCATGTATGGTAGCTCATGCCTATAATCCCAGCACTTTGGGAGGCCGAGGCAGGCAGATGGCTTGAGGTCAGGAGTTCAAGACCAGCCTGGCTAACATGGTGAAACCCCATCTTTACTAAAAATACAAAAATTAGCCGGGTGTAGTGGTACACGCCTGCAGTCCCAGCTACTCAGGAGGCTGAAGGACAAGAATCACTTAAGCCCAGGAGGTAGAAGTTACAGTGAGCTGTGATCGCGCCACTGCACTCCAGCCTGGGTGACAGGGTGACTCTGTCTCAAAAAACAACAAAAAAAAGACAGCTGGACACAGTGGCTCACGCCTGTAATCCCAGCACTTTGGGAGGCCAAGGTGGGTGGATCACAAGGTCAGGAGTTCAAGACCAGCCTGATCAACATGGTGTAACCCCATTTCTACTAAAAATACAAAAATTAGCCAGGTGTGGTGGCATGCACCTGTAAATCCCAGCTACTCAGGAGGCTGAGGCAGGAGAATCACTTGAACCCGGGAGGTGGAGGTTGCAGTGAGCCAAGATCATACCACTGCACTCCAGCCAGGGCAAAAGAGCAAGACTCTGTCTCCAAAAAAAAAGATAATGATCTAGATATAAAGGTTTTACTGTATTTATTTCACTGAGAATCAATCTAATAAGAAATCATTAATTCAAACATTATTAATTTGGATGTTTTCATATGGGAAAAAAAGAAGTGCTAAACAATTACGTATAAACATGACTTCAAGGCTAATACTATACATATCATATTATACATGAATTTAAAGAGAATTCTTTAAAACATGAGAAGCACTTACTTATGAAAAATGACTGTATACTACAAATCATTTTTATTAATTTGTTATACCAAGTTTCCCAAAAGAACCTCTACTTGGTCTACTAGCTTCCTTAAGCTAGCTTCCTGAAACTAGTTCAACTCATTCTCCATGTTAACAAGTAAAAACTGCATTTAATTGGAGTAATATAATAAGTGATAGTCATTGCCATTGCATGCCCACGTGTCCGGTACTACATGAAACCCTCTACTGGATTATTTCACTTAATCTTCATAACATAGGCAGCAGCATCTCCACTTTTTTAAAAATGAGAAAACATATTTTTCAGTGATAAGCAGTTTATTGAAGGTTACAAAGTAAGTAAAGAAGCTGGAATTCAAAACCCATGCAATTTCACTCCAGAGCCCATATTCTTAACTATCTCTCTATGTCATCTCAATTATTTTGTTGACTTTAAAAGAAAATAATCTTTGGCCAGGGCAGTGGCTCATGCCTGTAATCCCAGCACTTTGGGAGGCTGAGGCAGGCGGATCACCTGAGGTCAGGAGTCTGAGATCAGCCTGGCCAACATGGCGAAACCCCATCTCCAGTAAAAATACAAAAATTAGCTGGGCGTGGTGGCAGGCGCCTACAGTCCCAGCTACTTGGGAGGCTGAGGTAGGAGAATCGCTTGAACTCAGAGGCAGAGGTTGCAGTGAGCCTAGATCACACCACTGCACTCCACCCTGGACAACAGAGTGAAGCTCTGTCTCAAAAAATAAATAATCTTTAAATCATGTTTTTCACCAATTCAAATAACAAGACCCTTAACTATCTTTTTTTTTTTTTTTTTTTTTTTGAGACAGACTCTCGCTCTGTCATCCAGGCTGGAGTGCAGTGGCGCGATCCTGGCTCACTGCAACCTCCATCTCCTTGGTTCAGGCAATTCTCCTGCCTCAGCCTCCCGAGTAGCTTAGATTACAGGCATGTGCCACCACACCCGGCTGATTTTTCTATTTTTAGTAGAGATGGGATTTCACCATGTTGGCCAGGCTGGTCTCGACCTCCTGACCTCAGGTGATCCATGCACCTCGGCGTCCCAAAGTGCTGGGATTACAGGCATGAGCCACCGCGCCTGGCCAATTAAGTGACCTTAAACACCACTATTTACTGGCCCGGTGTAGTGGCTCATGCCTGTAATCCCAGCACTTTGGGAGGTCAAGGTGGGGGTATCACTTGAGGCCAAGAGTTCAAGACCAGCTTAGCCAACACAGTGAAACCCAGTCTCTACTAAAAATATAGAATTAGCCAGGCATGGTGGCGCACACCTGTAGTCCCAGCTGATGCAGGAGAATTGCTTGAACGTGGGAGGCAGAAGTTGCAGTGGAGCCAAGTTCACACCACTGCACTCCAGCCGGGGTGACAGAGCAAAACCCTGTCTCAAAAACAAAACCAAACCAAAACAAAAAAAAAAACCACCACTATTTCCTGAATCATTCAAGTACCATGATGTTTACATTTTTCCCATATCTAAACATTACCAGTATTATCACTTATTTGATTCTGTCTCTAAACTGACTTAGTTTTTAAATTTGGCCTTGCCCTCAGCCTTAATATACAATTGAGACTGAGACACATAAAGTCAACTCTATTAAAATTCTTTTAAGTCTGTCGATATACCATCATCTGTGTACCACAAGAAATAAAAACAAGCTATTTCAGAATTCTTTACCAGTGTTTCTCAAAGTGTGGCAAATAATGATTCAGAAATAGGTTCTTTTTATTTCTACATCAAGATAACGCTGTATTTTTCCAGCCATGAAAACACTAGGAAAAAAAGATTATAAAAGAAATTATTTAATTTAAACAAAATCAGGATTAAAGTTACTCAAAAGACATAGACAATATTTCTAAACAATTAAAACTAAAATCAGGATCCCACAACAAAATGAATTTTACAACAGTTCTCAAAGTAAACTCTAAGTGTCCTAACCAATCCCTGCTTCCAGTCCTGTTCCTATCAAAGAATTTCCTGCATTATACTCAAAAGGATTTTTTTAAAAATCTGATCACAGCATTACTTTACTTAAAACTCTTCCAAAGGCCGGGCACAGTGGCTCACGCTTGCAATCCCAGCACTTTGGGAGGCCGAGGCAGGCGGATCACGAGGTCAGGAGATTGAGACCACGGTGAAACCCCGTCTCTACTAAAAATACAGAAAATTAGCCAGGCTTGGTGGCAGGCGCCTGTACTCCCAGCTACTCGGAGAGGCTGAGGCAGGAGAATGGCGTGAACCCGGGAGGGGGAGCTCGCAGTGAGCCAAGATTGCGCCACTGCACTCCAGCGTGGGTGACAGAGCGAGACTCCATCTCAAAAAAAAAAAAACTCTTCCATGCCTGTAATCCCAGCATTTTGGGAGGCCAAGGCAGGCAGATCAAAAGGTCAGGAGTTCAAGAACAGCCTGGCCAATATGGTGAAATCCCGTCTCTACTAAAAATAAAAAAGTTAGCCAGGTATGGTGGCACGTGCCTATAGTCCCAGCTACTCAGGAGGCTGAGACAGAATTGCTTGAACCTGGGAGGCGGAGGTTGCAGTGAGTGGAGATCGCACCACTGCACTCCAGCCTGGGCAACACAGTAAGACTCTGTCTCAGAAAACAAAAAACAAAAAAAAATTCTTCAATGGCTTCTGAAAATACTCAGGATAAAGTCCAAACTTTCTGGCATGGCTTAGAAGGCCCTGATATTCCTGTGTTCCCTTTCAGCTGCATCTTTTGCCGTTCTCAACCTCAACTTTCTGCTCCAGCCGTACTAAGTCTCAGTAATACTCAGTCTCACAATTTATATCACCTATTTTGTCTGCCCAAAGTCTAAATCTCACTATTTAATCATGTGCTCTCTCAACTTCAATTAAGTTTTTGGCACTGAAAATCATTGTTTATCTGTACCACCCTCCTATCAGACTGGAAGCTTCCTTGAAGTTTAGGGCTATGGGTTTTTTTGTTTGTTTGTTTTGGTTTTCCATTGTAAACAAATGCTTGATATATATATAAGAAGAACTCAATACATACATATTTGGTGAATGAATGAGCAATACCTTATCAAGACCATTTAAACAAGAGTGTGTATGTGTACGAGCATGTGTGTACCAACTAAAGAAGATACTAAATTTTTATTTGCACAGTCTTTGTACCTACCATAATAAATGAAAAGGCTTTTTTTTTTTAGCTTCACCAAGGATCAATCTAGTAAGAAACCATTAATGCAAGTATTATTAATGTGGATGTTTTCATACGGGAACAAAAGTGCTAAACAATTATGTATAAACATGACTTTTTGTAATTAAAATGGTTAAACCGGGGATAATCTAAAGAACATTAATATACAAAAATCCCTCCAAAAAATGACTTACTTAAATCGTCCGATACGTCTTCAATTCCTGAAGCACTATCATCAGAATCACCAGTATTATCTGTACATGTCTGTTGCTTCTGAGATCGTGGTGAGTTTTGCAGAGCACATTTTTCTCCCCCTACAGCTTCAATATTCACTTTGTCCACAGAAGTAAAGGAGCTTGGAATTTTTTTTCCAATCTGTTGTAATTCTGTCTTCTGTCTCATGTCTTTCAACAGTAAACTGGGTCCCTTTTCTGCTTCTGCTGGTGAACTTGGTACTTTTTCTGACTTCATCTGATAACTGGATGCTTTTTCTGCTTTCACTGAATTAGGTGACTTTGGTGATTTTTCTGCTTTTGCCTGTAAACTGGTTGCCTTTTCTGATTTTGCCTGTGAAATGGTTGCCTTTTCGGCTTTCACCGGTGAATTAGGAAATTTTTTTGCTTTGCAATGACTTTGATCTCGAAGGACTAACCCCAAATCTTTAGGACCTGGAAGGTTGGCAGCATTTACTTTACATGATTTAACTTCTGTTTTTTCTATACAAATATCATTTTGCTTATTTTTTTTACTACTATTCCTATTTGGAGAGCTGTTCTCAATTTCTTTTACGGATTTATCATTTCTAGCTTTCAATGTTTGATTACCTATAACTTGAACTGCTTTGCTTTCTTCACAAATAACATTCTTCTTTGGTTCATGATTTTCACTTTTTAAGGTTTTAGACTCTTCCATTATTTGAAAATCTGTTTCTTTCCAATTGTGATATTATAAAATGGCAGATCTCCAGTAGTTTAAATTGCTTCAAGTCCAGTTTAGGCAAGCAAACTATTGGGTTAAAAAAAAGAGAAAAATCTGTTATTTAAAATGCAAAAACAATTTTTTATGGTTAGACATTAAAAAACAATTTTTTAAACTTGTTCTAAAAACTGAAGAAATTGTTAAAAAAAAAAAAAAAGACAAAACTCAGAAAACTATATGAGAAGGAGTTACAGTGCACTAGGTAAATAGCCAAATGCTCATCAAGGGAATTCTAATGTAATTGTGGTAAAACAGCACCAAAATAAAGAATTTTAGAAGTAAAGGTTGTCTCATATTTCTTTAAGAATTTCAATAGAAAACTAAAACTTGCAATTGAATGTATCACAATTAACATGAAAGGAAACAGAATAAAGAAAACACAAGAATTCCAATCTTGGCTGGGTGTGGTGGCTCATGCCTGTAATCCCAGCACTTTGGGAGGTCAAGGTGGGTGGATCACCTGAGGTCAGGAGTTCGAGACCAGCCTGACCAATATGATAAAATCCCACCTCTACTAAAAATACAAAAATTAGCCAGGCATGGTGGCGTGCGCCTGTAATCCCAGTTACTCAGGGGCTGAGACAGGAAAATCACTTGAACCCGGGAGGCAGAGGTTGCAGTGAGCCAAGATCATGCCATTGTACTCCAGCCTGGGCAACAAGAAGGAACGAAACTCCATCTCAAAGATGGAGAATCCCAATCTTTATGTGCTATAAATGAATCCGTTTATGGAATCCTAAATGGTAAAATCTTGCCCACAAGACTTTACCACCAACTAGCATCTATTTGTACCTCTAGCCTACCTCGAACTTACCTCAAACTTGACTCTCTAAATATGGGAAAACAATAGACTTTCTCCACCTTGAAGTAAAAACGGGTTCAAATGAATTCGCTGAAGTATACTTTAAAAACCAACAGGGGCCGGGTGCAATGGCTCATGCCTGTAATCCCAACACTTTGGGAGGCCAAGGCGGGCGGATCACGAGGTCAGGAGTTCAAGACCAGCCTGACCAACATAGTGAAACCCTGTCTCTACTAAAAACACAAATATCAGCTGGGCGTGGTGGCACATGCCTGTAATCCCAGCTACTCGGGAGGCTGAGGCAGGAGAATTGCTTGAACCGGGACCCAGGAGGCGGAGGTTGCAGTGAGCCAAGATCGCACCACTGCACTCCAGCCTGGGCCACAGAGTAAGACTCTGTCTCAAAAACAACAACAACAAAAAGGAACTTAAGAGTTTAAAAAAAAACAAAAGTAATAGTAATAATCTCTATGACACTATAATAGTGAATATCTGTCATTACACATTTGTATAATGATACAAAATGCACATTACCAAGAATGAACCCTAAAGTAAACTATAGACACTGGGTGATAAGGTATCAATGCGGGCCAATGTAGGTTCATCCACTGTAATAAACATGCTACTCTGGTGCCAGATGTTGAAAGTGGGGGAGGCTATGCATGTGTGGATGCAGGGTATATATGGCAACTTTGCACTTTCTGCTCAATTTTGCTGTGAACCTAAAAGTGTTCTAAAAAATAATGTCAGCCAGGCATGGTGCCTCACGCCTGTAATCCCAGCACTTTGGGAGGCCGAGGTGGGCAGATCACAAGGTCAGGAGTTCGAGACCAGCCTGGCCAACATGGTGAAACCCCGTCTCTACTAAAAATACAAAAATTAGCCGGGTACAGTGGTGGGCGCCTGTAAAATCCTACCTATTTAAGAGGCTGAGGCGGGAGAATTGCTTGAACCCGGGAAGCGGAAGTTGCAGTGAACTGAGATCGCGCCACAGCACTCCAGCCTGGGTGACAGAGCAAGACTCCATCTCGAAAAAAATAATAATAATAATAATAATAATGTCAAGGCCAGGCACATGGCTCACACCTGTAATCCCAACATTTTGGGAGGCCGAGGCTGGCGGATTGAGTCCAGGAGTTCAAGACCAGCCTGGACAACATGGTGAAACCCCATCTTTACAAAGAAAACAAAAATTAGCCGGCCACTGTGGCATGCGCCTGTAGTCCCAGCTACTTAGGAGGCTGAGGTGGGAGGATCGCTTGAGACCAGGAGGCAGAGGTTGCGGTGAGCCAAGATTGCATTCCTGCATTCCAGTCTGGGCAACAGAGTGAGACCCTGTCTCAAAAAAAAAAAAAAAAAGTGATTTTATTAAAAAATCAGGATGTTTTTTACTATTCACTTTGCCCTATACACCTTAAATTCAGATCCGTTTCTAAACAAACATTAATAATATGAATAAAAATTAGAGTCCTTCTGCCAGCAAAAGCAAACTGCATAGAATTAAAATGTACCATCTTTGATTTTACTTGGTTGATTTACTAAATTACAAATTTAGGTAAACATCTCTATCATATAACTTTACATCATATAAACAAAAAAATCCTACCTAAAATAAAGAGTTCACTCTTTAATAATCACTCACTGCAGCCTGGAACTCCTGGGCTCAAATGATCCTCCTGCCTCAGCCTCCCAAGCAACTAAGAACACAGGCGCACACCACCACACCTGGCTAATTTTTTTTTGTTGTAGAGACAAAGTCTCACTATGTTGCTCAGGCTTGTCTCAAACTCATGGCCTCAAGTGACCCTCCCATCTCAGTCTCCCAAAGCACTGGGATTACAGGAATGAGCCACCACACTTGGCCAATAATTCTTCTTTATAGTGCAGTCCTCTACATTCTCTGCCTTGCTTTTCCAGAGTAATACTGTCTTTTACTTTAAAAATGTATTAGGTTCTTCTTTCTAAATTATTATAATGAAAACTAAAGTCAAAACCACACTAGATATGGTGTCAGTTGGAGTCTAGCAAAGTATATTTAAAAATTTTTTAATTAAAAAAAATTTTAAACCACACTACATTTTCACCATTAATATTTTGACTAACATTTTCCAGTAAAAGCTATAGAAACTTACAACTGCAAAAGAATGCTTTTGCTCCTAATTTTTATACATATGAATTTGTTTAATTAATACATTTTGCTTTTATTATTCTTGATAAGGTGTTTTACATAACTGTCAGAAAAGTTGTCAAAACATATGACTATTTCTAAATTCTTGTGAGAACTGCTGCAGGTTCCTCACTTTAACAACTAAAATGAGCTCTGTTTCAAAAATTAAAATGAGTTATATTTCTAAAAGATTAGTTTTACCTTGTCTAGTAACCAAAATATCTTTAAATTTTTAATGCTAGTCTGCTATAACGATTCTTTAATAATTTTGTAGATGTCATCTGACAAAAGCCATAAAACAACAAAGATTTGAAATAACAATGCTGATTCACAATTTTGCTTGTAAAACATTTTAGACAATTTATTCATCCACTTAAAAAATACTCCATAAATCAAGTTTGTATACATAAACAAAAGCTACAAAGATTAAAAAAAGAAAAAAATCAATGTACCTAATATAGATCAATGTACCCGGAGAGTCCCAGGCTCAGAAAATTGACAGGTTTTCATTTTGAGTAATCTTTTTCTTCTTCTTCTTTCTTGAGACATGGTCTTGCTCTGTCGTTCAGGTTGGGGGGTAAAGTGGCACAATTACGGTTCACTGCAGCCTTGACCTCCCTAGGCTCAAGCAATCCTCCCATCTCAGCCACCCAACTAGCTGGGACTACAGGTGTGTGCCACCATGCCAAGCCAATTCTTGTATTTTTTGTAGAGACAGGATTTCGCTATCTCACCCAGGCTGGTTTCGAAGCCCTGAGCTTAAGCAATCCTCCTGCCTCGGCTTCCCAAACTGCTAGGACTACAGGCATGAGTCACTGCGTCAGCTACTTTGAGTAATTTTTCATATAACTAAAAATACATTTAAATTACTAATAGGAGGTTGCAGTGAGCCGAGACCACGCCATTGCACTCCAGCCTGGGTGACAGAGTGAGACTCCATCTCAAAAAAAAAAAAAAAAAAAAATTGCTAATAGGAATATGTGTTATGAAAAAGACTGTATTTTCTCATCTTCCTCACCTTTATTTTTTACTTTTTAAGGGTACACAGTAGGTGTATATATTTATGGGGTACAAGAGATGTTCCAGTACAGGCATGCAATGTAAAACAAGCGCATCATAGAGAATGGGGTATCCATCCCCTCAAGCATTTATCCTTTGAGTTACAAACAATCCAATTACACTCTTTATTTGTAAAAGTACAATTAAGTTATAATTAACGATAATCACCCCCACATCTTTTCTTGTAAGAGTAGCCAATGTCTTATTGCCTCAAAAATTTTATCACAAAATTGCTATTTTCAATTTTTTCTTTGAAGCTATCAAGAGTACAAAATTTTCCCCAAAAAGATGTAATTCCTAGAAACGAAGTTCTCTCGGAGGAGAGAGTATTTTGAAGATAAGGCTCAGCTGGGAACAGTGACTCACACCTGTAATCTCAGCTGCATAGGAGGCTGAGGTAGGCTGATTGCTTGAGCTCGCAAGTTCGAGGCCAGCCTGGGCAACATGGTAAAACCCTGTCTCTACAGAAAATACATAAATTAGCCAGGTGTGGTGGTATGCGCCTGTAGTTTCAGCTACTTGGGAGGCTGAGGTAGGAGGATGGCTTGAGCCCAGGAGGGAGAGGTTGCAGTGACCTGAGATAGCACCACTGCACTCCAGGCTAGGTGATAAGAGCCAGAACTTGTCTCAAAAAAAGAAAAGAAATGAAGGCTCACTGCTTCCCCTGCACACTTTACTTGGTTGAAACAAATAAAAATAATAGAATTCAAATAACCTCAAATCATGGAAAAAAATATTATCAGAACTAACCTCTAGTTCTTGGTTACATTTTTAGAATGTGGTAAATGGGTATTAAATGAAATTCTAACCTTAAATAACCAACTATATCTTAATAATTATCAAGAAAAAGTACTTTTTTTTTTTTTTCAGAGCCAGGGTCTCCCTGTGTCACCCAGGCTGGGGTGCAGTGATGCCATTCTAACTCACTACAGCTTCGAATTCCTGGGCTAAGACGATCCTCCCAGCTGATGTGGCTGGACTGGGGGGCCACACTTAATGAACCATGGCTGTAAGAAGTGATCCTGAAAGTGATCCTGAAAGCAGAAATGAAGGGACTTCTGTACAGTCTTACAGTGAACAATCTGATTCGTGTCAGTCTCCCCATGAGATTCTCAAGTCTATGAGGTAAGAAATCATTTCTGATTTTGCTTATCATTACATCTTCTGGGCATACCACAGTGCCTAATACAAAGTAGGCACCCAATAAATGGGTTAAATGGATTTTTTTAAAGTAATCTGAATTATTTTTAATTGTTCACACTTTAAAAATACATGAAATCCAAAAGATGTTTAATTGCATCATACTTTATGTTGTCTACAATATAACTAGGAAATGTCTCTCTTTCAGAAAGCTTTCCATAACCTACTCCTCCACCCTCTTACCCAGGGTGGGCTCAGATAAGTATGCCTCTTCTTAATGAACTCTTTTTACTTTTCTCACAGCACTTAGCACTTAAACCTATTTATGTTTTTACTTCCTATCTGAACAGTAGAGACTGTCTTTTCTCATCTTTTTTTTTTTTTTTTTTTTTTTTTTTTTGAGACAGAATCCCACTCTGCTGCCAAGCTGGAGTGCACTCTCAGCTCACTGCAACCTCCACTTCCCAGGTTCAAGCAAATCTCCTGCCTCAGCCTCCTGAGTAGCTGGGACTACAAGCGTGTGCTACCACGCCCAGCTAATTTTTGTATTTTTAGCAGATACGGGGTTTTACCATGTTGGTCAGGATGGTCCTGACCTCATGTTCTGCCCGCCTCGGCCTCCCAAAGTGCTGGGATTACCACGCCTGCCTCTAATCTGTTTTTAATAAAACAAATACATTTACATGGTTGAAAAACAGTACTCTCTTGCCAACTCCCAATTTCTCTCCTCAGAAGCAACTACCTACTTTCAGTTATTTTTATTTATCTCCATATTTCTAAATAACATGCTTAAGATAATACTTCTTGTTTTGTTTTAGCTTTTTTTTTTTATACAGTATCTCACTCTGTCACCCACGCTGGAGTGCAGTGGCGTGCAGTCATGGCTCACTGCAGCCTTGACCCCTGGGCTCAAGCGAGCCTCCCACCTCAGCCTCACAGGCACACACGACCACACCTGGCAATTTTTTAAAAAATTTTATGGAGACAGGGTCTCACCATGTTGCCCAGGCTGTCTCGAACTCCTGGGCTCAAGCGATCCTGCTGCCTTGGCCTACCCAAGTGCCGGGATTACAGGCATGAGCTACCATGCCCGGCCTTACCTATTATCTGCTAACTTCCTACATGAAAGGTATGGATTTAGCTATCTCAAATATTCCCCTTAAAAACATACATAACTGTGCAACGTAAGTACCTCCCCACCCTACCACCATCCTCCTAGGATGATTTTAATAAGATATGCCAATATTATTCACAGTTAAGCCAACTATACTGTAGCACAGAGTTTCCTAAATGTCCCTAAAAATTAACTTTCTCCTTTTTCCTGAGCACATGACTAGTCTACATTTCACAAACTTCTCTGCAGTCTGATGTGGCCTTCTGATAAAGTTCTCACTTCCTCATGCTCTCTTTCTCTTCTCACTGAATAAAATTTTCAACTGCCCCGCTTCAATCATTCAACCATCATGTTCTAATCCAGACCAGTGAGTCCCAAACTTTTGTGTATAGGAATAAACAACTAAATGCGATTCTGATTCAGTAGATTGGGAGTGGGTTCCAATATTCTGCATTTCAAACAAACCCAGGTCATGTCCACTCAGCTAGTCCTTGGCCATACTTTTGGTGAGACAGCAGGATCAATGTAACTTAGGCCCCTGAATGACCACATGGAACAAACTACTCATCTAGATTTCCTGACCATTTACCCAGCAACTATTATATGAGAAAGGAATAAAACTCTTTGTTTTTTAAGCCACTCTATTACTGGATCTAGCTTTTGACTTAAGAAATATATATACTTAATCACATTTCCCTTTTGGTATACTTTTCAGTTTTACCTGAAATTAATCACTTCATTTTTCTTAAGCTTCTTCTACATACCTATCAATAATTCATTGACAGAACTATAAATATCTTCTCAGTAAGATCAAACACATCAAGTAATTTGGTTTTGTTGTTGCTGTTCTCTCCTTGGATATCCCTTCTTGGGAGCTTTCTGGTCGTTACTATACTTTCACTACAGTTGTCGTTATACTGAGAGTTCCTTTCACTATCATCCTACCAATTCCCTTACGCTCTCTCATGCTGACTCTTCTTTTTAGCTCTTCCATGATTTATTCCCTTGTTTTTGGTGGAACATACCCTCCAGCAGCTTTCTAAGAAAGGAAACATGAGGCCAGGCACAGTGGCTCACGGCTGTAATCCGAGCACTTTGGGAGGCTAAGGCAGGTAGATCACTTGAGGCCAGGAGTTCAAGACTGGCCTGGCATGGCGAAATCTCGTCTCTATTAAAATACAAAAAAATTTAGCCAGGTGTGGTAGCACACACCTGTAATCCCAGCTACTGGGGAGAATGAGGCACAAAAATCGTTTGAACCTGGGAGGCGGAGATTGCAGTGAGCTGAGATTGCACCACTGCACTCCAACTTGTGCAACAGTGTGCGACTCAGTCTCAAAAAAAGGAAGAAAACATGAAAGATATTGAAGAAAATAATTATGTCCCACTTTCGATATTTCATTCTATGTAGACGGATACCCGTTATCATAACATCCCTGACCTCTTTCCACTCCCCTCATTCATTCCTTGCCTAAGGAGAAGAGGTAACTTACTTCATCAGTGAGTTTGGGAAAATAATCCAGACAAAACTTAGCCCCGTCCCCTCTCCTTCCCATTCTGTTCCATCATACTCTAACATTTACAGGTGTAAGGCTCACATAGGGCCTGCAGTTGTTCAGCTCTGCCAGTTCCTGAGGGCTAAGTCTGCCTAATTCTGGCACTCGGTATCAGTAAACCAGTTGAAAGTATAAGCCGCCTTCTCCAAACTGAACGTGATCAAAAATAAAATTATAAAAACTAAATAAAAATAAAATTATCTTCTGGTCTCCATATGCTTCCTTCGTTTCACCCAATTTGTTGAAAATTCAGGAAAGCAAAAGGGGTGCTATTTATTGGACCCCCGTAAACTCCAACCAGAAGTAAATTTTATAAAACTGCATATTTGAAATATCTTTATTGTATCTTCACACCTCATTTAGTTAGGTATAAAATTCTAGGTTAGGGCCAGGCACGGTGCTTCATGCCTGCAATCCCAGCACTTTGGTAGATTGAGGCGGGAGGATCATTTGAGTTCAGAAGTTCAAAGCCAGCTCAGGCAACATGGCAAAACCCTGTCTCTACAAAAAAAAAAAAAACAAACAAAAATCAGCCAAATGTGGTGGCGCATGCCTGTGGTCCCAGCTACTTGGGAGGCTGAGGTGGAAGAATCACTTGAGCCCAGGAGGTCAAGGCTGCAGTGAGCCGTGATGGCACCACTGAACCCCAGGCTGGGCGACAGTGCAACACCCCGTCCCCAAAAAAATAAAATAAAATTCTAGGTTAGAAATTATTCATTCAAAATGTTTTCAATGATTTCTAGTTTCTGGGACTAGCACTGAGAAAATTATGCCATTCTTATTCTTTACCTTTTTTACTGACCTGTTTTTTTCTCTAAGAAAACTTCTAGGATGATCTCTTTGCTTTGGTATTCTGAAATTTCCAAGCAATAAGCCTGCTGTAGATATCTCCTCATTCATCTTGTTGCATAGTCATCTTGTTGCATAGTCAGCTGGCTCTGTTCATCAGTAATTCACATCATTCACTTCTGTAAAATTTTTTTCTTCTATCTACTATAAATTCCTCCTTTTCATCTTTTCTGTTCTCTTTCTATTGCTCCTATTAATTAGACTTGGGCCTCCTAAATTGATTCTCCAATTTTCTTATCTTTTCTCTCCATTTTTCCACCTTTCTTTTTGTTCTCCTTCCTAGGTGATTTCCTCAACTCTATCTTCCAACTCTTCTATCATATTTTTATTTCTAAGAACTCTCTCTAATTATTCCTTTTCACAGCACTCTGATCTTGTTTCATAGTTATAATCTCATATTTCTAAAGACCACTAATATTCAGAACACTAAAATTCTTTCTCAAACTTTTTTCTGCCCTCTGTATTTTTTGTTCTCTGGCATTTTGTTCCCTGGGCAATACTGTTCATTTTCTTCTCTACCAAGCGTACCAACATATGCATAATAGGAGTCACAGAAAGAAGAAAGAGAAGGGTGTAGAAAAAATATTTGAAGAAACAATGGTCAGAAACTTCCCCAATCTGATGAAAGACACAAGTATATACCTCCACAAAGCTCAATAAACTTTAAGCAGCGTAAACTCAAAGAAATCCACACTGAGACAGAGTCAAATTGTCAAAACCAAAGAGAACTTTGAAAGAAGCAAGAAAATTTAACTCATCAAACAAAAGTTAACAGCTGATTGCCCATAAGAAACCATGGAAATGAGAAGGCAATGCAGTGACATATTTGAAGTCCTAAAAGAAAAAAGCTGTGAACTAAGAATTCTCTAGCCAGTAAAACCGCCTTTCAAGAATGAAGGAGAAATTATATTTCCAGATAAACAAAAAGTGAGAAAGTTCATTCTGCCGTACAAGTGCTAAAAGAAATTCTTAATGCTGAGATGAAAAGACATTAGACAATAATTCAAATCCATAACAAGAAATAAAGAACACTAGTAAAAATAACTACATAGGTAAATATAAAAGCCAATGTTATTGTAATTTTGGTAACTCTTGGGTTTTTCCCTTTTACATGATTTAAAAGACAAATGCATAAAAATTCATTACAAACCTCTGTTAATAGGCACAAACTATATAAAGATGTAATCTGTGACAATAAAAATATAAAGGAGGAGAGAAAGATGAGTAGGAGCAGAGTATTTGCGTACTATTTAAACTAAGCTGGCATTATTCAAACTAGGTTGTTATAAATTTAAGATGTTAATTACATCATTATCCCCAAGGCATCCACTAAGAAAGTAACACACACACACAAAATCAAAACAGGATTATAATTCTATAAAAAATCAACTAAATACATAAAAAGGCAGCATTAGAGGAACAAAAGGCATAAAAAACATATGGAAAAGAAAGAGCTAAATGGCAGAAGTAAATCCATCCTTACCAGTAATTACTTTAAATGTAAATGAATTAAACTTTCCAATTAAAAAGAGAGATTGGCCAGGCGTGGTGGCTCACGCCTGTAATCCCAGCACTTTGGGAGGCCGAGGTAGGTGGATTACCTGAGATCAGGAGTTCACAACCAGCCTGGAGAACATGGTGAAACCCTGTCTCTACTAAAAATACGAAAAAATAAGAGGGCGTGGTGGTGGGTGCTTGTAATCCCAGCTACTTGGGAGGCTGAGGCAGGAGAATCACTTGAACCCAGGAGGTGGAGGTTGCAGTGAGCCGAGACTGTGCCACTGCACTCCAGCCTGGGCAACAAGAGTTTCGTCTCAAAAAAGTAACATTAAATTAAATTTTAAAAAATAGGCCGGGCGCGGTGGCTCACGCCTGTAATCCCAACACTTTGGGAGGCCAAGGCAGGCGGATCATGAGGTCAGGAGATCGAGACCACCCTGGCTAACACGGTGAAACCCCGTCTCTACTAACAAAAAATTAGCCGGGCATGGTGGCGTGCGCCCATAGTCCCAGCTACTTGGGAGGCTGAGGCAGGATAATCGCTTGAACCCAGGAGGCGGAGGTTGCAGTGGGCCGAGATTGTGCCACTGCACTCCAGCAGCCTGGGCAATAATAGTGAAACTCCATCTCAAAATAAATAAATAAATAAAAATTAAAAAAAAGAGAGAGATTGGCAAATTGGAAAACACAATCTATCATCTATCTACAAGATTCACTTTAGATACAAAGAGCAAAGGCGTTATAAGAAAAAATGAAAACAGATACTCCATGCAAAGAGTAACAAAGAGAGAGCTGGGGCTAAATTATTACCAGATAAAATAACACTTTAAGTCAAAAAAGGTTACAAAACACAAAGATAGATATTATATATTGATAAAAGGTTCAATCCAGCAAGGACATATAACAGTTATAAACATATGCACCTAACAACAGTGACCTAAAATACAGGAAACAAAAGTTAACACAATTGAAAAGAGAAATTGTTCTATAATCATACTTAGGAGACTTCAATACCCCACTTTTCAATAACAGAACAACCAGACAGAAAATCAAAAAGGAAACAGAGGATTTGTGTAACACTATAAACTAATTTGACTGGCTCAGCGCGGTGGCTCATGCCTGTAATCTCAGCACTTCGAGAGGCCAGGGCAGGTGGATCACCTGAGGTCAGGAACTCAAGACCAGCCTGGCCAACATGGCGAAATCCCATCTCTACTAAAAATACAAAAATTAGCCAGGCATGGTGGCGCGTGCCTGTAATCCCAGCTACTCAGGAGGCTGAAGCAGGAAGATCGCTTGAACCGAGAAGGCAGTTTGCTGTGAGCTGAGATCGGGCCACTGCACTCCAGTCTGGGCAACAAGAGCAAAACTGTCTCAAAAATGAATAAATAAATAAATAAACAAACAAACTAATTAGACTGGCTGGGCATGGCGGCTCATGCCTATAATCTCAGCACTTTGGGAGACCAAAGGGGGCAGATCACTTGAGGTCAGGAGTTCAAGAAAAGCCTGGGCAACATGGTGAAACCCCGTCTCTACTAAAAATACAAAAATTAGCCGGGTGTGGTGGCCCACACCCATAGTCCCAGCTGCTTGGGAAGCTGAGGCACAAGAACCGCTTGAATCCAGGAGGTGGAGGTTGCAGTGAGCCAAGACTGCATCGCTGCACTCCAACCTGAGCGAAAGAGCAAGACTCCATCTCAAAAAAATAAAATAAAATAATTAGACCTAACAGATATATAAAGACTCTATCCAACATCAGCAGAATATACATTCTATCCCCAATGGGCATGTAACATGAAAGACAAATAAATGCTCTTGTTTTGGCAACTGAGAAAAAAAAAGGGAGCTGGGTGCGGTGGTTCATGCCTGTAATCACAGCACTTTTGGAGGACAAGCTGGGAGGACCGCTTGAGTCCAGGAGTTTTAGACCAGCCTAGGCAACACAGGAGACTCCATCTCTACAAAATATAAAAAATTAGCCAGGCACCTGTAGTCCCAGTCTCAGGAGGCTGAAGTGGGAGGATCACTTGCACTTGGGAGGTGAAGGCTACAGTGAGCTGCAATCATGCCACTGCACTCCAGCCTAGGCAACAGAGCAAGACTCTGTCTAAAAAAAAAAAAAGAAAAGAAAAGAAAAAAAAAAAAGAAAAATGAAAAAGAAGATTAAAAAAACATGAATGATCAAAGAATCCTATCATATCTTTCCTTACTAATATTACTTCCCTGAATTAAACATTTATTCTAAAAATGATGATGCAGAAGGAAAGGGAAAGATAGTGCAATTCATATCTCCTTTTCCTTTCATTCCTGCCTTACTTACCACCAAGTTAAAGAGAGTGTTGAAGCCAGGTAAAGTGGCTTACACCTGTAATCCCAACACTTTAGGGCACCAAGACAATTCTCCCACCTCAGCCTCCCAAAGGAATCCCGGAATTACAGATGTGAACCACCACTAGTTATACAATTTGGAGATAATTTGTACTGGGTTGCGAAGTTACAGAATCACTATTTCAATAGGGTAAGGAACACAACAGTAATCATGCCGATGAAGGGAAAGGATAAAGCCAAAAAGAGGCTTTACAGTGAAATTAGGGATAGATTAAAAAAACTAAAGAAACATTAAAAATACATATACAGATAATTCAGAAAATTTTGGTGGGAAGAATCATTTTGAATGATATGAATAGGAGCTATCAAGGAAAGTAGAGTTGAATATCACTAGAAGATAGAAATTAAGGAAATAAAGTGTCAGATAACATTCAATGTTATGCTTCCCACTGCCCAATATGGATGTCAGGAATTACACCAAAGTATCAGTGAATATAAAGGGGTGACCTACAGATTCCCAGATTGAAATGACAATGACAGATAAGAAATATAGCCAGCAGGACACCAGTCTCACAAGAGAACGAAGAATAGACAGTAGGTAGTAAACTATGGATATAATTTCCTGGCTTTGAGGAAACAGGTATGGGGGGGAAAGCAATGTTCAAGACACATTAACAATGCCACAAGTTCCTACAAAAAGTCCCGGAGCTCTTACAAATTTTCAGTTTTAAAAAAAGATGGCAGTGCAGGGCGCGGTGGCTCATGCCTATAATCACAGCACTTTGGGAGGCCGAGGCGGCCTGAAATGCTCATGACCTCAGAGGTCCTGAGGTCAGAGTTTGAGACTAGCCTGACAACATGGTGAAACCCTGTCTCTACCAAAAATACAAAAATTAGCTGGGAGTGGTGGCTCACGTCTATAATCCCAGCTACTCAGGAGGCTGAGGAAGAAGAATCACTTGAACCAGGAGGCGGGGGTTGCAGTGAGCCAAGATTATGCCATTGCACTTTGGCCTGGGTGACAAGAGCAAGACTCCGTCTTAAAAAAAAAAAAACAAAAAAAACAGGCCAGGCGCGGGACTACAGGCTCACACCTGTAATCCCAGCACTTTGGGAGGCCAAGGCGGGCAGATCACGAGGTCAGGAGATCGAGACCATCCTGGCTAACAAGGTGAAACCCTGTCTCTACTAAAAATACAAAAAAATTAGCTGGGCATGGTGGCGGGCGCCTGTGTTACCAGCTACTCGGGAGGCTGAGGCAGGAGAATGGTGTGAACCCGGGAGGCAGAGACTGCAGTGAGCCAAGATCATGCCACTGCACTCCAGCCTGGGTGACAGAGCGAGACTCTGTCTCAAAAAAAAAAAAAAATGGCCGGACGCGGTGGCTCATGCCTGTAATCCCAGCACTTTGGGAGGCCAAGGCGGGTGGATCACGAGGTCAGGAGTTCAAGACCAGCCTGGGCAACACAGCGAAACCCCATCTCTACTAAAAAGACAAAAAAATTGCAGGGTGTGGTGGCATGCACCTGTAGTCCGACTTCTCAGGAGGCTGAGGCAGAAGAATCACTTGAACCGGGGAGGTAGAGATTGCAGTGACCTAAGATCGCACCACTGCACTCCAGCCTGGGCGAAAGAGCAAGACTCCGACTCAAAAAAAAAAAAAGAAAGAAAGAAAGAAAAAAAAGACAAACACTACCTGTCTAGCATGCCCATTCACTTATCCTTACACATTTGTGAAGTTACTATAATTAGAGTCTTGCAGTATTTCCATTTTATACATTAATGAGGCACCCTGTTTATGACTTGCCTAAGATAACACAAATGGGACTGGTATATGACTACAAGAAACATGACTCCCAATTTTTGGTCCAAGTTTATGTACTAGAGTATGTCTCTAAGCCTAAATCAGTAATTCTCAAACTTTTTGGTCTCAGAATACCTTTATACTCTTAAAATACTGAGGATCCAAAGAACCTTTGTCTTTGTGTGTTATATCTATTGATACATGCATCGTTAAGATTATTAAAACTGAGAAATTTTTCAAATACAAGAATACACTGGCCAGACGCAGTGGCTCACGCCTGTAATCTCAGCACTTTAGTAGGCCGAGGCAGGCAGATCACCCAAGGCCAGGAGTTAGGGACCAGCCTGGCCAACATGGTAAAACACTGTCTCTACTAAAAATACAAAAATTAGCTGGGCATGGTGGTGTACACCTGTAATCTCAACTACTAGGGTGACTGAGGCACAAGAATTGCCTGAACCCAGGAGGAGGCAGAGGTTGCAGTGAGCCAAGATCACGCGACTGCACTCCAGCCTGGGCCACAGAGCGAGACTCTGTCTTAAAAAAAAAAAAAAAAAAAGAAGAAGTAAAACTTCTACATCAGGCTGGGCACGGGGGCTCACGCCTGTAATCCTAGCACTTTGGGAGTCCAAGGCAGTGGATTACCTGAAGTCAGGAGTTCGAGACTAGCCTGGCCAATGTGGTGAAACCCCATCTCTACTAAAAATACAAAAATTAGCTGAACATGGTGGCAGGCGCCAGTAATCCCAGCTACTTGGGAGGCTGAGGCAGGAGAATCGCTTGAACCCAGGAGGCAGAGGTTGCAGTGAGCCAAGATCGCGCCATTGCGCTCCAGCCTGGGTGACAGAGCGAGACTCCGTCTCAAAAAAAAAAAAGAAAGAAACTCCTACATCATATCACATTAAAAAAAAAAACTCAAAATGGATCAAAGACCTAAATGTAGAAGCTAAAAGTGTAAAACTGTTAGAAGAAAACATAGGAGTAAATCTTCATAATCTTGGATCAACAATGATTTTTTAGGTATGACACTTAAAGCAAAGAAAACTAAAGAAAAGAGATAAATGGGACTTCATCAAATTTAAAACTTTTGTATTTCAATGAGCACACTCAAGAAAATGAAAAAACAGTATGACAACTCCTCAAAAAATTAAACATAGAATGATCCAACAATTCCTATTCTAAGTATACACCCAAATAACCAAAAGCAGAAACAGGTATTTGAACATCAACGTTCAAAGAAGCATTATTCACGATAGCCAAAATGTGAAGGCAACCCAAGTATCCACCAACAGATGAATGGATAAACAAAATGTGGGACATATATATAATGAACTACTACTCTGCCTTAAAAAGGTAGACAATTCTGACACATGCTATGACATGGATGAACTTTGAAGACATTATGCTATATGAAAGAAGCCAGTCACAACAAATATTATATGAGTCTACTGATACGCAGTACCTACAGCAGTCAAAATCATAGAGAAATAAAGTAGAATGGTGGTTGCTAGAGGTTAGGAAGCAAGGAAAATGAGAATTTATTGTTTGACGGGTACAGAGTTTCAGCTTGGGAAAATGGAAATGTTCTGGAAATGGATGGTGGTGATAGTTGCACAATAATGTAAATAAATTTAATGTCACTGAATGTATGCTTAGCTACCTGGGAGGCTGAGGCTTAAAATGAAAATAGTATAAACATTCATGCAAAAATCCACAACAGAATACTAGCAAACTGAAATCAGCAGCACAGTTAAAGAATTGTACACCACGATCAAATGGGATTTATTCCTGGAATGCAAGGATGGTTCAACATATGAAAACAGATCAATGTAACACACATTAACCAAACAAAACGAAAAACCACATGATCATCTCAATTGATGCAGACGAAGAATCTGACAAAATTCAATACCCTTTCATGATAAAAACACTCAACAATCTAGGAATAGAAAGAAACTACTTCAATATAATAAAAGCTATCTAAGGAAAACCTACAGTAGACATCATACTCAATGATAAAAATGAAAACCTTTTCCTCTAACATCAAGACAAGGGAAAGATGTCTGTTTTCACCATTTCTTTTTATTTATTTATTTATTTATTTTTTTTTGAGGCAGAGTTTCACTCTTGTTGCCCAGGCTGGAGTGCAATGGCACGATCTCGGCTCACCGCAACCTCCGCCTCCCAGGTTCAAGCGATTCTCCTGCCTCACCCTCCCAAGTAGCTGGGATTACAGGCCACTATGCCCAGCTAATTTTGTATTTTTAGTAGAGACAGCGTTTCTCCATGTTCGTCAGGCTGGTCTCGAACTCCTGACCTCAGGTGATCCACCCACCTCAGCCTCCCAAAGTGCTGGGATTACAGGCGTGAGCCACCATGCCCGGCCTGTGTTCACCATTTCTGCTCAACACAGTACTGGAAGTTCTAGCCAACGCCATTAGGCAAAAGAAACAAAACGCATCTCAATTGGAAAAGAAGAAGTAAAATTATCTCAGTTTGCAAATAATATGATTTTATATGTAGAAAACCCTAAAGATTATACACACACACACAACTAAAAAATGGATTCAGCAAAGTAGCAGGACACAAAGTCAACACACGAAAAACCAGCTGCATTTCTAAACACAATAAATAATCTAAAGGGAAATTTTAAAAATTCCATTTACAATACCATCAAAAAGAATAAAGTACTAAGGAATTACATAACCAAAGAAGTGAAAGACATGTACAATGAAAACTATAAAACATTGCTGAAAGAAATTTAGAAATATATAAACAGAAACACATTCTATGTCCACAGACCAAAAGACTTAATTTTTTTTTTTTTTTTTTTGAGATGGAGTCTCGCTCTCTCTCCCAGACTGGAGTGCAATGGCGCAATCTCAGCTCACTGCAACCTCCGCCTCCCGGGTTCAAGCGATTCTCCTGCCTCAGCCTCCTGAGTAGCTGGGATTACAGGTACCTGCCACTGGGCCCAGGTAATTTTTGTATTTTTAGTAGGGACAGGGTTTCACCATGTTGGTCAGGCTGGTCTTGAACTCCTGACCTCAGGTAATCCACCAGCCTCGGCCTCCTAAAGTGCTGGGATTACAGGCATGAGCCACTGTGCCTGGCCTTACTGTTGTTAAAATGTCCACACTACCCAAAGCAATCTAAACATTTAATGCAATCCCTATCAAAATTCCAATGACATTTTTTGCAGAAATACCAAAATCAATCCTAAAATTCACATGGAATCTCAAGAGACCCCAAATAGCCAAAAGTCTTGACAAAGAAAAACAAAAGTGGAGGACTCATACTTCCTAGTCGCAAAACTTACTACAAAGCTACAATAATCAGGCTGGGCACAGTGGCTCATGCCTGTAATCCCAGCACTTCGGGAGGCCGAGGCAGGCAGATCACAAGGTCAGGAGATGAGACCATCCTGGCGAACATGGTGAAACCCCGTCTCTACTAAAAATACAAAAACTTAGCCGGGTGTGGTGGTGGGCGCCTGTAGTCCCAGGCTACTCGGGAGGCTGAGGCAGGAGAATGGCATGAACCTGGGAGGCGGAGCTTGCAGTGAGCTGAGATCGTGCCAGTGCACTTCAGCCTGGGCGACAGAGTGAGACTCCATTTCAAAAAAAAAAAAAAGCTACAGTAATCAAAATAGTATGGTATTAGTATAAATACATACAGACAGACCAATGGAATCAAACAGACCAGAAATAAACCCTCACATATGTGGTCAAATAATTTTTAACAAGGATGACAAAGCCATTCAATAGGGAAAGGACAGTCTTTTCAGCAAATGGCGCTGGGAAAACTGGTAATCCATCTGCAAAAGATTGAATTTTGACCATAAACAAAAATTAACTCAAAATGGATCAAAGACCTAAGAAACCTAAACTTGTAACTATAAAACCATAACTAAGAAACATAAAACTATAAGGCTCTTAGACGAAAACAAAAGGGAAAAGCTTCATGACACTGGAGTTGGCAATTATTTGTTGAGTATGACACCAAAGGCACGGGCAACAAAAGAAAAAATGGACAAACTAGACTGGCTGAAAATTTAAAACTTTTGTTAATCAAAAGACACTATCAACTGAGTAAAATGGTGGCCAGGCTAGGCATGGTGGCTCACACCTATAATCCCAGCACTCTGGGAGGCCCAGCCAGGAGGATCACTTGAGGTCAGGAGTTCAAGGCCAGCCTATGCAACATAGTGAGACCCTGTCTCTACAAAAATCTTAAAATTCGAGTGTCGTGGTGACATGTGCCTGTAGTCCCAGCTACTCCAAAGGCTGAGGTGGGATGATCTCTTGAGCCCAGGGAGGTCAAGGCTGCACTGAGCCATGATTGCGCCACTGCACCCCAGCCTAGGGGACAGAGTGAGACCTTGTCCCCAAAAAAAAAAAAAAGCCAGAAAAGAAACAGAGTAAAGGCCAGGCATGGTGGCTCATGCCTATAATCCTTGTACTTTGGGAGGCCGAAGTGAGTGGAACATTTGAGGTCAGGAGTTCAAGACCAGCCTGGCCAACATGGTGAAATTCCGTCTCTACTAAAAATACAAAATTTAGCTGGGCAGTAGTGGCAAGCGCCTGTAATCCCAGCTACTCAGGAGAATGAGGTAGGAGAATTGCTTGAGCCTGGGAGCTGGAGATTGTGGTGAGCCAAGATTGCGCCACTGCTCTACAGTCTGGGTGACAGAGAGTAAGACTCTGTCTCAAAAAAAAAAAAAAAAGTAACCCCACAGAACAGAATGGAAGAAAATATTTATAAATCATGTATCTGATAAGGGACTAATATCCAGAATATATAGCAACTCCAAAAAATGAACAAAAAATGACCTGATTTGAAAATGGGCAAAGGGCTGGCATAGACATTTCTCCAAAGAAGATATACAGACGGCCACAAGCACGTGAAAAGATGCTGAATATCACTAATCATTAGGGAAATGCAAATCAAAACTCCAATGAGATACCAACTCACAACCCATAGGACAGGACTACTATTAAATAAATAGAAAATAGCAAGTGTTGGCAAGGCTGTGGAAATATCAGAACCTCTGTGCACTGTTGGTAGGAACGTAAAATGGTACAGCCACTATGGAAAACAATATAGCAGTTCTTCAAAAAATTAAAAATATACTCAATGATGCTAAGGTGTCAAAAATAATAATAATAATAGGCCAGGCGCGATGGCTCATGCCTGTAATCCCAGCAGTTTGGGAGGCCGAGGCAGGCACATCACTTGAGCTCAGGAGTTTGAGACCAGCCTGGGCAATATGGTGAAACTGCATCTCTACAAAAATACAAAAAAAAAAAAAAAAAAAAAAATTGGCCAGGTGTGGTCGCAAGCGCCCACAGTCCCACCTACTCAAGAGGCTGAGGTGGGAGGATGGCTTGAGCCCAGGAGGCAGAGGTTGCAGTGAGCCAACACCATGCCACTGCACTCCAGCTTGGGAGACAGAGCCAGATCTTGTCTCATAAATAAATAAATAGAAGAAGAAGAATAAAATTACCATATGATCCAATAATTTCACTTCTGGGTATATACCAAAAAAATTGAAAGCAGGCTAAGAGATACTGTACACTCATGTTCACAGCAGCATCATTCACAATAGCTAAAACATGGAAATAACCCAAGTGTCTACTCATAGACAAAGGGATAAGCAAAATGTGATATATCTATACAATGGAATGTTATTCAGCCTTAAAAAAGAAGGAAATTCTGCAATATGCCACATGATGAACCTTGAGGACACTATGCTAAGTGAAATAAGCCACAAGACAAATATTGTATGATTCAATTTATATGAGGTATTTAGAGTAGTCAAAATCGTAAAGACAGAATAGTGGTTGTCAGGGGTGAGGGAAGAAGGGAACGGGAAATTATCATTTAATGGGTATAGAGTTTCAGTTTTATAAGATGAAAAGGGTTATAGGGATGGATGGTGATGATGGCTGCACAACATTATGAATGTATTTAATACCACTGAATGATACACTTAAAAATCATTAAGATGATATGTTGTGTTATGTATATTTTACTGCAATTTTTAAAAGTTGGAAACAAGTTTAAATGGTTAATTTGTTATGTACACTTTATCACAATTTTTAGAATCTTTTTTAAGGTGAATAGACACTCCACAAAATGAGACAGCATTTTTGTAAATAATATATCTAAAAAGGGTCTAGCCTGGGCGAGATGGCTCATACCTGTAATCCTGGCACTTTCGGAGGCTGAGGAAGGAGGATCATTTGAGGCCAGGAGTTTGAGACCAGCCTAGACAACATAATGAGATCCTGTCTCTACAAAAATAAATAAATCAATCAAAAAAATTAGCTGGGCATGGTGGCATGCACCTGTAGTCCTAGCTACTCAAGAGGCTAAGGCAGGAGGATCGCTTGAGGCCCAGGAGGTGGAGGCCAGAAGGCAGAGGCTGCAGTGAGCCATGTTCACGCCACTGCACTTCAGCCTTGGTGATAGAGCAAGACTGTCTCAAAAAAAAAAGTGGGGGCATCTAGTATCCAGAATATATTGAGTTCTTAAAACTCAACAATTTTTAAAAACGGGTAAAGGATTTGAATAGGTATCTTTCCAAAGGAGATAGACAAATGCACAACAGGCACATGAAGAGATGCTCAACATCTTATTAATCATTAGGGAAATGCAAATCAAACCCACAATGAGGTAGTGAGATAGTGGGTGAAGTGTCACCCACTAGATGATAGTGAGGATGTAGAGAAATTGGAACCTTCCATACATTGCCACTGAGAATGTAAAATGGTACAACTTTGGAAAACAGTTTGGCAGTTCCTCATAAAGTTAATCATAAGTTTATCGAAACACCCAGCAATTACAATCTGGGTATATACCCAAGAGAAATGAAAATGTACATCCACACAAAAACGTTTAACTATGTTCACAGCAGCACCATTCCTTATAGGCAAAAAGTAGAAATAACCCAAATGTCCATCAAATGATGAATGGTTAAACAAAACGTGGTATCTCCATAGAAGGTAATACTATTCAGCCAGAAAAAAGCTAAAACATGCTACACTATGGCCAACCTTGAAAACATTAAGTTCAGTGAAAGAAGCCAGGCACAAAAAGCCACATACTATATAATTCCTTGTATATGTAATGTCCATAATTTCTAGAGACGTAGCTTAGTGCTTGCCAAAGGCTTGGAGGAGGAAGGAATGGGGAGTGATTGTTAATGGGAACTGGGTTTCATTATGGGATAAAAACATTCCAAAATTAAATAGTGATGGTTACACAACCTTATAAATATACTAAAAGCCACTGAATTGTATCTTTTAAAAGTGTGAATTTTATGGTATTGTAAATTATATCTCAAAGAAAAAAGGGGAAAAAAATACACTATTACACATTACATTAGCCATCAAAGCAATAAAGTCTTCACATGTCACCCCAGACCAGAGAATAAGGGAAAAGTCAAATTGTGTCTTAATATTACCATGAAAACAGTTTGACTCAGAGACACCCCTCTCCAAAAGGTCCCCATAGTTTGAATACCACTGGCCTAAACTAATACTCAGCACATGACTAGCACTTAATGAACACTTAATGACTGGTCAATTAAATTATTTAAACTATAGTGTTAGTTAAATATTTAATTTAATAATTATATTATTAAACTACACACTGACAAAATGCAATCAGGCTTAGTCATTCTCTATAATTCATACTTTGCATATTTGCAAAATATTTTTAACAACCTATGTGACTACAGAATTTAACTCTCTGTACACAAAATTTTGACACCCTAAACTTGAAGGTACAACACAGTACAGTGGCAAAGAGCTGTGACTCTAGACTCAGACACTTTGAGTTCAAATCCTGACTGCAGCAAACTAGCTATGAGATATTGTCCAAGGTACTCAATCCTTCTACATGGACTTTTCCCATCTATAAATGAGAATAATATAAAAAGGGTTGTTTTGAAGACTAAGTTAACACTTCAAAGATCTTGAGAAAGAAATTAGCTCATAGTAACTATGCAATAAGTTATCTATTATCATTGTAAATCAAATATCCACTTAAAGCAATCAGATTGTTGTGTGGTTAACAAACATACCTATTTCTTTTTAAAAGTACAAGATGCCTTATGTAAAGATTAGGACTTTGCCCATCTATAGTGGTGAACATCAAACTTGCATGAATAGCGTCTCCCTTCTTCCAGCCCATGCTCTTCAATGCCTTAAGCTATTGTTTTCTAGAGCTAAACTAGAAAATAGTCAACTAATCCAAGCCAACAAGTGAAAAAACTTCCTAAGTAGTATAACAAGGTGATCTCCCCCAGAGGTGTTTTCATCCCAAAAGACTTTTCCAAAAAATTAAAAGTTCTTGGACAGTAAGATTTGGATCACAGAATTCTCAAGATAAAAGTCTAGAATATAGGGAGAGGAGAGAAGAGTGGTACGGAAAAGAAGGCTTGCCTATCCACTAAAAACGGGTAAACTCTGTTAGCTAGGAAGCCAAGGAGAAAAAAATACAAAACTAGGAGTCAGAAAACATAGTTCTAATCACAGCTCAACCACTATCTCACTTGGTGATCTCACAAGATAAAAATTCAAACACCTTAATACAACATAAATGGTCCCTCACAATTTGCTACTTCCAATCATTTATCTCACCATTCTATCCATATCAATTCCTACCACACTGAATTTCTCACTCTCCCTCACTCCCCAAGGCTCATTACAATTTATCATCTTTGCATGTTATTCCCTAGGTCTGGAATGACCTCCAACCTCCAGTCCATCTTCCTCTCCACCTAGCAAACTCCTACTCACCCTTCAAGAGCTAGTTTCTTCCCTCTCAACTCCCACAATCTAGTGTGTTGTAATTTACTGTATTATATGTAGACTGATACAAATGCAAATGTTTGATGAAATGAATGTTTAAATGAATGAATGAACAACCTTAGGCAGTTTCCCATTCTAAATAATTGAGAAAATAATACACCTGAAAAGCAACATCACATATACATTATATTAGGAAGAGAGATCTGCTTTGAAATCTAATTCTATGATCTTCAGCAAATCACTAACCTCTGTGACTCAAAGATTCCTCACCTATAAACAGGTTTCAAAGGGCTGTTACACTGAACGAGTGAAAAAAAAATGCATAAACAGTGTCTAGCGCAGTGCCTGGAACAAAACAGGCACTCTAAAAAGTTTTGGTTCCCTTCTCTCTCCCTCAACTCATAATTATAGATATCCAATGAGATGATGTGACATAAAAATAATTTGAACATAAGACACCACACAAATCTCTCACTTAAGGGGGAAAAATCCTAACATTAATCTTTGCATTTATATACCCTTTCTTCTCCTTGGGCCTGTAAGAAATACTCCGGAGGAAAAGTCGGAACCTGCTTTTTCAGAGTGTGTGGTTTATTTGAATATAGTCTGTACATAATAAAATAAAGATTTAAAAAAGGAAAGAAAAATACTCTGCAGAAATGATGGTTTTTAAACATTTCCCCCAAATTATGTAATTATTTAGGATTCTAGAATTAAAACAATTCAGTTAGTACCCAGTAAACAACTCTAATTGCTCTAAGATTAATAACAAAAAGTCTACATATCCTGTTTTAAAGTATGGTGTCCCTTTCCTTTGACTTTTTTAGGTCTTTCTGGAATTGTTCTTTTTTAGAACGTATTTCTATCCTACTGCAGTGGCTTTAACTGAATTTAACATTTTTTAATCAATTCAAGTATTTGCAATTTATTTGAAAAAGGAACACAACTCATTGAGTTCTATTTTGTCAAACAAAATGTTCTGGCATCAACATTAACAGGTAAGTATTGCTTTTTTTTTTTTTTTTTTTTGTTTAAGACAGGGTCTTACTCTGTCGCCCAGGCTGGAGTACAGTGGCGCAACTGTGCCTCACTGCAACCTTGAACTCTGGGCTCAGGCAAACCTCCTACCTCAGCTTCTGGGACTACAGACGCACACCACCACGCCCAGCTAATTTCTTTTATTTTTTGGCAGTGACAAAGTCTCACTATGCTGCTCAGACTGATATCAAACTCCTACGCTCAAGCAATCCTCTCGCCTCCACTTCCCAAAGTGCTGAGATTACAGGCGTGAGTGAGCCACCTGGCCAGGCCCTACAGGTAAGTGTTGGTTATTTTGTTTCTCTGAAACTAGAAACTTTAACAGTGAATAAATTCAAACACCTTTCTTGATCAACAGATCCTGATTTGACATTCTGTAGAGAACACAACATAATTAATGGTACTTATTTTTATGTCAAGATTAACTTTGAGATAAAAAAGAATTCTAATTACTTACTCTAAAATGAATCTGCTGAGAGCTAATAAAAATTCTCTTTAAACAGCTCTTTGTTAATCAGAGAAATTTATAATTATACATTTTGATTCTAAAAGGTCTAAAATTAAAATGTAGACACTGTACTGTTCTAGCTCCAGCAACTAAAAATAAATGTAATTTTAGGTGTCACTTAGAATTTATAAACTTGAACTTATATGCATGACAATATTTGTTAATTTATCTGTACTAACAACTTGGCCTATGACAATGAAAATACTTTAAATTTCTTTTCTGTATTTAAATGTTTGCTGGATTTAAAACATCAAATGTCATTAACTTTCACTTCCATTTCTGAATTATTTTAAGAAAACTTCATTTTTCATTTTCCACACTAGCCAAGTGAAAAACTGCAAGCAGCAGAAAAATTTATCTAAGAGTTTTAAAAGTAAGTTTCTTTTGTTTATATTAAATATAAATATTTTTAAAGCATAAAACGACTTAAAATTCTTATCTTCCCCAAAGTATATGGTTTCTAAGAAGCAATCTTTAAAAATTTGTTTATAAAAGCAACATAGCACACTAGACACTAATGAGTTATCTTAAGCACAGCTTTTTAAGAGAATCAATATTTCATTTTACCAGTTGTGACTAATCAGTACTACGATGCAGTGTAGTGACATACATGAGTTCTAAGCCTAAAGAAAATTTCAGCGCGCTCGCGCGCGCACACACACACATACACACACACACACAAAGTCGGCTTTTCTTTTTAAACCATCCCACAATTCAACACCTCTCGGTGGTATTCTCTGAATTATCATATCTGGCTGGGATTATCCAATTTTATTAGCTAACAGTTCTCATTACTTTAAAAACAGAAACAGGATATGTTCTGTTTCATCAAGTGCTACAAACATTTCGCTGCTGTAAGACTGGAGGGAAAAAATCTTTGGAAATAAAAGGCCATCTGATCCACTCGGGCTAATTACTAAATGCATGCCAACAATACACAATTCGAATTGCATTTCTGGACACAATTTAAGATCACGATAGGGCAGGTCAAATGTGTAAGGAACTACTACTTCTATCAAAATGAAGAAGCAGATATACGGTATCTAAGATCTCACGCAAAATTCATCTAAGACTTCGAAATCTTCTGAAAAGAAAATGTGTAATCAACGTTGTTAATACAACAGTAATTCATCCCATTCAAGTACGACTAGAAATCCCGCTGATGTGCTTCTTTCAGGTCTAAACATCTCATTCTTTCGCAATCCAGATACCAACAGGAGTCTGAAACCCTTCGCAGAGGCGTGCAACACACTAGGAGAGCGCTATCTGTTTACAAATACGAATCTCAGTTACCCACGTCAAAACCGCGCATTACCACCTTTCGACTGGGGGGCGGGGGAGAGAGAAGGCGGGCGAGCAAGAAACAAAATCCACACAGACACCTCTGCCTTCTCCCTACAAGGACGAGCCCGGGGAAACATTCAGTATGTATTATATGCGTGTATACATTTATATACATTATGTAGTCACCTATGTCTAAGCAAGGGTGAAAGAAAAAGGTACACATGACAGGGAATCGTAACTGGACCCAACAGAAATGTTCAAACCAATCCCGTTAACTCAAAATCCGCCCCGCTGGTCTACAACAGGTTTCGGTCCGGGACCGGGAGCCCCAGCCACAGTGTGGAGTTCGTCCCCAAAGCGCCCCAATGCCCTCCTCAGGCCGCCCAGGCCGCCGTCCCCACCTCCCTTATCTCAGCCTTCCCCTGGGACACCCGAAGCCCGTTCCAGGAAAGAAAGAAGTGTCAGGCCCCCAGGGGGCGGCTGAGACGCTCTCAGGCCAGGCCCCCGACACCTGCGAAGCGCGGCACCTGGGGAGGGCGAACCGGGGGCCGCCCGGCCTTCCCGAGCACACCCCCTCGGTACCCGACGCTGCCCCGCGGCCGGAACCTCGTACCTGCGAGGCCCGCGAGCTACAGGCGCGCGCGACGCCTCCTCATCTCAGTGGCTCCTGCTCTCCCTCCGCCTCCTGCTGCCGCCGCCGTCGCCGCTGCCGCCGCTGGAGGCCGGGACACGACTAGCTCAGGACTCCACCGCCATGTCCGCCGCGCCGCGAACTGCATTGTGGGGGGGAAGGGATGGGGAGGGGGAGGAGGAGGGAGAGGGAGAGGGAGAGAAAGAGGAGGACCCGCTGAGGGGAGGGGGCGAGGGAGAGCGGTTGCCGGGGGAGAGGGGGAGGGGAGAGGACAGAGCCTGTAATGGGGTCCTGGCCCGGGAGAGGAGGAGCTACGCGCAGAGGGAAGGGTTCAGGGGTGCCCCCTCCCTTCGTTCGGGGGGCCCCACAGGCACCGTTTACACCGGGGCGGGGGAGGGGGGAAACAGCACTGGGGGGAGGGGTCTCGTGGTGGCCGCGAAGAAACAATGGGGAGAAGGCCGAGGTAGGAGGATCGCGCACTCACACCCACGCGGAGGGAAGGGAGCGCGCGAGAGACACTCGTTAGCTCGCGAGGAGGGGGCGGGCCGCTGGCAGAGGGGAGGAGGGAGCCACCCGGGGCTCGCGGGCAGGGGCGGGGCCGCCGAGCGGAGGTCGCGAGGTCCCGCAGCCCGCCTGGGCGCCGCGGGTTAGCCGCGCTGATTCGCCCGCTTGCCGGAGTGGGTGGGGGTGGCGGGCGCCCCAGTGCTGCCCCAGTCTGGTTCCTAGTCTCTGCCGAGGCCCCCGAGCTGGAAGCCGAGCCCGAGGGCCGCCTCGGCGCCTCGCTCCCAAGGCTGCTCCCCCTGGGGAGGAAGGCCGGCCTGGAATGGGTACCCTCTGGCCTGGCACTCGGACTGGGCGTGGCCCGAGCCTCGGCGGACCCTCGGAAGCCCAAGCGGGCTTCGGAGCAACGGTAGGGAGCGGGGCAGAGGAAGCCGCCAGGGTCGACCCCCACCCACTCACCACGGCCTCCAGCCCACCGCAGCTGGACCTTTTTTCCTTTGAAAAGGCAGGCAGTTCAGGAATGAAGGAGCTCGAAGAGAAATCTCTGGAGCACTCCATCTCCCACCCCCAAAAGAGGTTTTAGAAATCATTTCTTTAGCTGCAGGCGGGCATAAAACCATCTACCATCAATGGGCCCCCTCATCCCCTTGCTTTTAACGTATTACATTCCTCTACATAATTATTTAAAGTCACGGGCGGAACGGACTTAAGGTTTTGTTAGTTTTGTTTTTTGTTGTTTTTTTTTAAGACCCCAGCCTCAGAGATTATTTAGCCAATCTCTGACCTCAAAGCTGGACAAAGCACACAACCTCTGTGCTCTGTGCCCAGTCCTTTGAGTTTGACACATGCTAGGCAGGAAAAAGGTATGAAAAGAGTGGACGTAGAGGTGAAGGGAAGATGTTAAATCTTAAGTATTTACAAGATAGTGCCTTATAAATTTTCTTATAATGTGACTCAGGCTGGGACTGGTTAGAGGTCACAGAGGGACGCTCCACTTCACGATAGCCCTGTGAGTTACGTACTGTTGCTCTCATTTACGGATGAAAAAACTAGGGTTCAGAGTTAGTGCATTTTACCCCAATCTGGCTGATGCTACAAGGCCCAGGTATAATGGATAGAGGACTGGATTTCAAGTCAAAAGAGCCCTACCTGGTTTTGGCGTTTATCAACATGATGCCTTTGAGCAAATGTACCCTCTTGAGTTTCCTCATCTGCAAATTCTTAATCTGTATCCCTGCTTCGCTTGACTAGCCTGGAAACAAAGAAAAAATCCCTACTTCACCCGGCTGAAAGCCTAAAGCCTATAGAGACACTAAGAAGATACCGACATGCCCTTCAATTCAGTGATAGCAGTGTCCTTAGAACAAGTTCAATTGAGTAAACATTTCCTAATTACTTAAGAGCAAAGCGTTGTTAGGTGCCTAGGGAAACAAAGACAAATCATTGCTTCCTGTCTCCAAAAAGTTCCCCATTGAGCAAGCAGGTGAGCTACAATAAAAGCAACAGGTCTTATTAACAAAGGGCTGGGCAAATCCAGAGGAGAGTGTGATAAATTCCACTTTGGTGAGACTTCCGTGGAAGAACTAAAAGCTGGACCTTGAAGATCTGTCTGCTGTGTGCCAGACACATGTCTGTGATTCAGAGGGCAGCATTGACTCTGGAGTGTGCAGAAGATAATGAATCTGGAAAAGAAAACTGGGGCCAGACTGAAAATTTCAGTGCCTCTCTGCCCTTATCCCCTCCAGATACTCTCTTCTACTACCTTGCTTATTCCCCAAGACCCAGCTCAACCTCTACCTTCTTTATTAAATCTTCCTGATTACCACCCCTCCTCTGCACTCCACTGAATGTGATCCCTCTATTCTCTGAATTCCGTGACCCCAATAGATTGTACACTTCAGCACAGATACTTACAAGGTATTCCTTCTGATACCTACATAGTTGTCGAGTTGAAAATTTTGACAACTATAATTTTATCATCACAGCTAGAGCAAGTATGGTTCTGACACAAAGAATAAGGAAATTTATGGAGTATAAGGTTTAATTCATGCCCAGGGTCATACAGTAAGTCACAGGCTGGACTAGAATACCAGCCCTGTATTCTTCCCATTGAACCACAGGTTTTTGAGATATAAAATGGTAAATGTCTGATTTCTATGTAAAAATCCTCTGAGGACTTAAACTTTCAAGGGAAATCTCATGATTGTGGTTAAGCCTCCAGTCTGGAAGTTCTGAAAACTTAGTTTCATCCAAACCCAGGTGAAAATAACTTGCAGTAAAAATCTTATTTCATTGTATCTCATGAGGAATATAATTACTCAGTGGATCAATATTCATATTCTGTTGTCTTCCTAGGTGAATAAGAAAACTTAGTAAAAAACTAATAATATTGAATGAAAAGGTGACTTGGTAAGTAAAATTATAACAAGAAAGGTGCCTAGTCCCAGCACTTTGGGAGGCCGAGGTGGGCAGATCACTTGAGGTCAGGAGTTCAAGACCAGCCTGGGCAACATGGTGAAACCCCATCTCTACTAAAAATACAAAAATTAGCCAGGCATGGTGGTGGGTGCCTGTAATCCCAGCTACTCAGGAGGTTGAGGCAGGAGAATCGCTTGAACCCGGGAGGCAGAGGTTGCAGTGAGCCGAGATCATGCCTCTGCACTCCAGTCTGGGTGACAGAACAGGACTCCATTTCAAGAAAAAAGAAAGGTGCCTAAGTCTGTTCAAACCAAGTTTTGCTGTTTGATCATAAAGGGCCCTGTATGCCACTGGAAAAAAAGCAGGCTTTATATTATAGTTATTGGGGAATCACTGATCACTTGTAAGCAGAGATAAATACAATCAGACCTGCTAAGCTGTTTCTCTGAGCCCCATTTTTTTTTTTCCTGTGTACTTGATTTCTCCAAGGAGAGAGACTATAGGCCCTGGGTGATAATGATCTCTAGTGAAAAACAGTGCATCACCCCCATGATGTGGTCCTAACCAAGTCTCCTTTACCTTTGTATTTTCAGCACCCAGCATAATCCTGACACATATAGAAAGCACTCAGAAATTGCTTGTTGACACTCTAAATTGTCTATAAAGCATAAGATATGGTCAGTGTCTAAAATTTTTGTGATTCTTGCAAAGATCATGACAATACCAAAGCTCTTGAGGTGTGTGCTCACCTCAAGATAGTGTAAAGGATTTACTTCTCTTTGTCTGTTTGCATTCTTAAAAGTCAATGAGATGAAAATGTGTAAAAATGCCTATTTCATAGTAAATGTTCCACACAAATGAATTCCCTTTCTTCTTAAAATTTAGTTTCTTCTCATCTGCCCCATTTGGATTTCATGTGCCCTTAGACTCACACTAGCACATGTGTGTACTTTCTACCTGTTGATTCCATTTCATCTGTCCTGAGGATTCTATGCGTGGAATTTTAAACTACAGCCACACCCTGCAGCTTACTTCATTGAAACATTAGAAACAGTCAGTTTTTCTTAAGGTGGCATTTTTTTAAGTGAATAAGATTTTAGAATTTAAAAGGACATTAGCGTTCATAAAGTTAGAGATATCAAGAACATATATACATGGCAGAAGATGATGCTATAAAGTTAGACTAGGACCGCATCATTGTTAAAAAAGCAAGTTTTTATTCTGAAGTTAATGGGCAATCATGGAACATCTGTAAACAAGGAGAGAGATGTTCAGACTTGCCTTATACAGCAGGTGTTCGTCTGACTTCTGTTTGTACATTCATAGCTATAGAGAGCTCATTCCTTACCAAATCTGCCTGTTCCAGGAAAAAGAAGTACTTCCTCAACAGAGCTGGACTTTTCCTTCTGTGATACATATTTGTTGGTAATCCTGACCTTAGGAATAACATCAGCCTTCTTTATACATAAAAATGAGGGAGCCAGGCATGATGGCTCACACCTGTAATCCCAGCAATTTGGGAGGCTGAGGCAAGAGGATCAAGGCCAGGAGCTTGAGACCAGCCTGGGCAACATGGTGAGACCCCATCTTCAAAAAAATAAAATTTGGCTGGGCACCATGGCTCACACCTGTAATCACAGCACTTTGGGAGGCCAAAGCAGTTGGATCACTTGGCAATCAGGAGTTCGAGACCAGCCTGGCAAACATGGTTAAAATTCCATCTCTACTAAAAAATACAGAAGTTAGCTGGGCATAGCACACGACTGTAGTCCCAGCTACTCAGGAGGCTGAGACAGGAGAATCACTTGAACCTGGGAGGTGGAGGTTGCAGTGGTCCAAGATCATGCCACTGCCCTCCAGCCTGGATGACAGAGGGAGACTCTGTCTCAAAAAATAAATTAATTAAATTAAATTAAAAATTTAACCAGGAATGGTGGTGCATGTTTGTAGTCCTAGCTACTTGAGAGACCGAGTTGGGAGAATCACTTGAGCCCGGGGGTGGAGGCTTCAGTGAGTTATGAATGTGCCTCTGCACTCCAGGCTGGGTGACAGAGTGAGACCCTGACTCTTAAATGTAAAAAGAAAGAAAAGGGTGTGAACCAGATAAACTAGGGCAGGAAAGGAGTCTAAAAATCCGTAATTCTTTTTTATTTTATTTTATTTTTTTGAGACAGAATCTCACTCTGTTGCCTAGGCTGGAGTGCAGTGGCATGATCTTGGCTCACTGCAACCTCTGCCTCCCGGGTTCAAGCGGTTCTCCTGCCTCAGTCTCCCGAGTAGCTGGGACTACAGGTGCACGCCACCACGCCCAGCTAATTTTTGTATTTTTAGTAGAGACAGGCTTTCACCATGTTGGCCAGGCTGGTCTCAAACTCTTGACCTTAGGTGATCTGCCCACCTCAGCCTCCCAAAGTGCTGGGATTACAGGTATAAGCCACTCCACCCGGCCAATTCTTTTTTATTTTTTTTGAGACAGGATCTCACTCTGTCACCCAAACTGGAGTGCAGTGGGATGATCACAGTTTATTACACCCTTGACCTCCTGGGCTCAAGCCATCCTCCTACCTCAGCCCCCCGAGTGGCTGGGACTACAGGCACACACCACCATGCCTGGCTAATTTTTTATTTTTTATAGAGGTGGGGGTCTCACCATGTTGCCCAGGCCGGTCTCAAACCCCCTTTAAGTCAGCTAATTTACCGCCCCCCCCCCAAGTCAAATCTCTCTCCTTTTTCTTTGAAACAAAAATGAGATCCAACTCCATTCTAAACAATCTCCCTCTGACCAATTCAAATGTATTAGAACAGTCTACACTCTGATGCACCTTTGTGCCCTACAAAATGTAATGCCCTCTCTCCAGAAATAAATCCTCACATATATGGTCAAATGATTTTCAGCAAGGATGCCAAGACCATTCAATGGATAAGAGACAGTCTTTTCAGTAAATGGTGCTGGGAGAATGGAATACCCAGATGCAAAAGAATGAACTTGGGCCCTGACCTTAGACGATATACAGAAATTAACTCAAATGGATCATAAGACCTAAAACTATAAAACTCTTACAATAAAACATAGGGCAAGAGCTTCACAACATTGGATTTGGCAATGATTTCTTGGATATGACACCAAAGGCACAGGCAACAAAAGAAAAACTGTATGAAAATGTAAAACATTTGTTTGTCAAAAGACACTATCAGAACTGGGGGCACTGGTATACACCTGTAGTCACCGCTACTCAAGAGGCTGAGTTGAGAGGACTCCTGGCTTGAGTCCAGGAATCAGACTGGGCAACAGAGCAAGAGTCAGGAAGGGAGAGAAGGGAAAGAAGAAAAGAAAAAACAAAGATATGATCAACGGAGTAAAAAGGCAACCTGCAAGATGGGAGAAAATATTTGTAACTCAGCAACCAAAAAAAATTGAAAAATGTGTAAATAACTTGAACAGATATTTCTCCAAAGAAGATATATCATCACTAATCATAAAGGAAATGTAAGTCAAAACTACAATGAGATCCCACTTCACACCCATTAGGATGGCTATTAAAACAAAAAGTTGAATACCAGCCTGGGCAAGATAGGGAGACCCCGTCTCTACCAAAACACAGAAAATAACAAGAGTTGTTATGAATGTGGAGAAATTGGAACCTTTGTACCCTCATGGTGGAAATGTAAAATGATACAGTCACTGTGGAAAACAGTATAGTGGTTCCTCTAAAAATTAAAAATAGAATTACCGGCTGGGTGTGGTGGCTCACACCTGTAATCCCAGCATTTTGAGAGGACGAAACAGGCAGGCAGATCACTTGAGGTCAGGAGTTTGAGACCAGCCTGGCCAACATGGTGAAACCCTGTCTCTACTAATAATACAAAAATTAGCCAGGTGTGTGGCATGTGACTGTAGTCCCAGCTACTTGGGAGGGTGGGGCATGAGAATCACTTGAACCTGGGAGGTGGAGGATGCAGTGAGCTGAGATTGCACCACTGCACTCCAGCCTGGGCAAAAAAAAAAAAAAAAAAGACTTACCATGGGATCCAGCAGTTTCACTTCTGGGTGTGTACCCAAGATAATTGAAAGCATGGTCTCAAAGAGATATGTGTACATCCGTGTTCACAGGAGAATTATTCACAATAGCTAAAATGTGGAAACAATCCCAAGTGTCCATTGGTGTATGAATGGATAAACAAAATGTGGTATATCCATACAATGGAATGTTATTCAGCCTTAAAAAGGAAGGAAATTCTGCAATATACCACAACATGGATGAACATTGGGGATGTTACGGTAAGTGAAATAAGCCAATCACAAAAAGACATATACTGTATGATTCCACTTTTATGAGGTGATTAGAGTAGTCAAAATCATAGACACAGAAAGTAGGATGGTAGTTGCCAGAGGCTGTAGGGAGGGGAAGACTAGGGAGTTATCATTTAATTGGCATAGAGTTTCAGTTTTATCAGATGAAGAAAGTGGGCTGGGTGCAGTGGCTCATGCCTATAATCCCAGCACTTTGGGAGGCTGACGCAGGTGGGTCTCTTGAGGCCAGGAGTTCAAGACCAGTCTGGGCAACATAGTAAGACCCCATCTCTACAAAAAATTTTTTTAAATAAGCCAGTCACGCTGGCGTGCACCTGTAGCCCCAGCTACTCGGGAGGCTGAGGCACATGGATCCCCTGAGCCCAGGAGTTGGGGCTGCAGTAAGCTCTGATTGTGCCACTGTCCTCCAGCCTGTATGACAGAGCAAGACCCTGCTTCTAAAAAAAAATCATTTAAAAAATCCTGGAGATGGATGATGGTGATGGTTGCACAACAATATGGATATACTTGACGTCATTGAACTGTACACTTTAAAATGATTAATATAGTAATTTTTTTTTTGAGACAGAGTTACACTCTTGTCACCTAAGCTGGAGTGCAGTGGCGTGATCTCAGCTCACTGCAACCTCCGCCTCCTGGGTTCAAGTGATTCTCCTGCCTAAGTAGCTGGGATTACAGGCACGTGACACTACACCCGGCTAATTTTGTATTTTTAGCAGAGATGGGGTTTCACCATGTTGGCCAGGCTGGTCTTGAACTCCTGACCTCAGGTGATCCGCCTACCTTGGCCTCTCAAAGTGCTGGGATTATAGGCATTAGCCACTGCACCCGGCCAACGTAGTAAATTTTATGTTATGTGTATTTCTACCACTTTTTTTTTGAGGCAGGGTATTGCTGTGTCATCCAGACAGAGGCACAATCACAGCACATTGTAGCCTTGATCTCCCAGCCTCCAGCCATCTTCTCTCCTCAATTTTTTAATTTTTTGGATAGGAGACAAGGTCTCACTATATTGCCCAAGTTGGTCTTGAACTTCTGGGCTCAAGCAATCCTCTGGCCTCTGCCTCCCAAAGTGCTGGGATTATAGGCATGAGCCACTGCACCTGGCCCTTACCACAATTTTTTAAATTAGAGGAAAATGTTATGCAGTCTGATGAGTTCTGGAGCTACAAAGTTCTATCCCATCAAGGATCTCTCAGAAATATAAACAGATAATAATATAACTGCCACAATAAGGATATGTATAAAGTATTATGAGTACACAAATAAGAGATAATTGATTTTGCCGGGGAGAGAATAACTTTAGTAGCTAAAGAATGATCAACAAAAATTTGGGGCCGGGTGCGATGGCTCATACCTGTAATCCCAGCACTTTGGGAGGCCAAGGCGGGCAGATCGCTTGAGTCCAGGAGTTCGAGACCAGCCTGGGCAACATGGCGAAACCCCATCTCTACTAAAAATACAGAAAATTAGCCAGGCACATAGTGGCATGTGCCTGTGGTCCCAGCTACTCAGGAGGCTGAGGTGGGAGGATCGTTTGAGCCCAGGAAGGACAGGCTGCAGTGAGCCAAGATGGTACCACTGGACTCCAGCCTGGGTGACAGAGTGAGACCCTGTCTCAAAAAAAAAAAAAAAGATAGTAAAAGACATTTGAGTCTTGAAGGGTGAGTGGACTTAGCCAGGTAGAGCAAACAGCATTCAAGACACAGAAGAGAAAAGGGGCAGGGCACAATTCAGGAACCTGCAGGTAGTTAGCATCTAGGGGTGGAGGGGCAAGGTATAGAAAATGGTACTGAGATGAGCGGGGCAAGATCATGAGGCCAGTAATACCATGCTAAGCACTTATGCTTAACTGGAAAGGTAGTCCTTCAAGGGTCTTACCCAGGATAATGATGTAGTTATATTTGGATATTTAAAATATGCTGTTTTCTTCTGGAGAGGAAACAGCAGTGTGTGGAAAAGAATAGAAGAGCCAAACTGAAAGCAGAGGAAACAGTAAGGGATTACTGCAGAAAATCAGGTGAGAGATTATATAAATAGGAGCAATAGGCCAGCACGGTGGCTCACACCTGTAATCCCAGCACTTTGGGAGGCCGAGGTGGGTGGATCACTTGAGGTCAGGAGTTGGAGACCAGCCTGGCCAACATGGTGAAACCCCATCTCCACTAAAAATAAAAAATTAGCCAGGCATGGTGGTGTGCACCTGTAATCCCAGCTACTCGGGAGGCTGTGGCACAAGAATCGCTTGAACCCAGGAGACAAAGGTTGCAGTGAGCCAAGATCGCGCCACTGCACTCAAAACAAACAAACAAAAAAAGAAGCAGTTGGAGTGGGAAAAGGGGCAGATTAGAGAGATATTAGTGATAGAATCAGTTAAGACTTAAATAATTTATTAAATGTGTTGTGGGTGGTGGAGATGAAGGTTTTCATGTAGAAGAGGTCATTCTCCTCCAGGGAGATTTCACTAGTACCAACTAGTTGTTTCAGTTCTGAACAACTAGTAGTGGCTGCTGGTGTGCAGTTTAGAAAAAGAGCCTAAAGCCCAACCTAGGCACAACAAGAAAAATTAGTGAATTAGTAATGTCTACAATGGATGCAGAATAGGAGAGAATTGACACATGACAAATACTTAACACTCCTATTCTCAGGCAGGAGAAAATTAAAAAGGTACTGTGTTTTGATGAATACGTATGGTGTGTTTCCATTTTTTGAAATTCAAGAACAGGAAAAATTAATCTTTGTTGGTAGAAGTCAGAATAGTGGTTATCTCTGTGGAGGTATAGATATGGACAGGAAAAGATATGGGAGCCTTCTAGAGAATTGGAAATTAACTAGATCTTACTGAGTCATGGTCACACGTGTATACTTATGTGAACATCCACTGAGTTATACACTTAAATTTTATACTCCTCACTGTACAAATGTTTTATGTCAATAAAAATGTGAAAAATGGGCCGGACATGGTGGCTCATGCCTGTAATCCCAGCACTTTGAGAGGCTGAGGCAGGTGGATCACTTGAGGTCAGGAGTTTGACACCAGCCTGGCCAACATAGTGAAACTCCGTCTCTACTAAAAATACAAAAATTAGCCGGGCGTGGTGGTGCAGGCCTGTAGTCTCAGCTACTTGAGAGGCTGAGGCAGGAGAATCACCTGAACCCAGGAACCAGAGGTTGCAGTGAGCCAAGATCATGCCACTGCACTCCAGCCTGGGCGACAGAGTGAGACTTCATCTAAAAAAAAAAAGTGAAAAATGTTAATAGTTAATATATGTTAAACATATAATAAATGTTTAAGGAATGGCAAGTAGTCTGATATCACATACAGAGAGGAAGAAAAAGTGGTTTGCAGACAACTGGGAGATAAAGTTGGAGAGATGGAATGACAATAGATTGTAAAAGGGCCGGTGCCGTGGCTCACGCCTGTAATCCTAGCACTTTGGAAGGCTGAGGTGGGCAGATGACCTGAGGTCAGGAGTTTGAGACCAGCCTGGCCAAAATGGTGAAACCCCGTCTCTACTGAAAATACAAAAATTAGCCGGATGTGGTGGTAGGCGCCTGTAATCCCAGCTACTCAGGAGGCTGAGGCAGGAGAATCACTTGAACCCAGGAGTTGGAGGTACAGTGAGCTGAGATCACGCCATTGCACTCCAGCCTCGGCAACAGAGTGAGACTCCGTCTCAAAAAAAAAAAAAAAAAAAAAAAAAAAGGTCTTGGGAGCCATATTAAGTCACTTGGACTTGATCCTGCAAACACTGGGGGAGCATTCAAAGTTTTGAAGTAGGGGAAATATATGCTTGTATCTCTGTTTTGGAAAGTAAACTGGGGGCAGTGCAGAGTTGGCTTTGAAGGGAGGAAGATGGAGAACAGATTCTCTGACCCAGATAGGATCTCAAACCCCATATCTTGTTGGCTAGAGGAATATCAGTTTTATATTCATCCTTGGAAATCATGAAAGGGAAGAAAATTCAATAGTTATCTATGAAAGCACTTGATGAGTGACTTCAGTAAACTTCAAATATTTTTATTTAAAATAACATAACCACATTGCAAAATTTTGAACCTATAGAAAAATGACATAAACTACCCACAATCCCACCATAGTGCTATTTGGTATACTGGATTTCCTACCATTCTCTTTTTTCTTTTTATTTTAACAGCTCTTCAAGATGAGGCAGCTGGCCTATGCTGATAGGAGAGTACAATGGTCTAGGTCAGATCTGGAGAGACAAAAGTAGTCAGTAAACTTATTTTGGCAGGAGCAAGACAAAATTTAAATAAAAACCAAGTCAGAAGTATGTGTCAAAATGAGCAAGCAGGCCGGGCACAGTGGTCCTGCCTGTAATCCCAACACTTTGGGAAGCCAAGGTGAGAGGATTGCTTGAGCCTAGGAGTTTGAGACCAGCTTGGGCAACATAGTGAGACCCAGTCTCTAAATACAAATTGAAAAAATTAGCCGGGTGTAGTGGCACACCCCTGTAGTTTAAGCTACTCCAGAGGCTGAGGCGGGAGGATCACTTGAGCCTAGGAGTTCATTACAGTGAGCTATGATTGCACCACTACACTTCAGTCTGGGCCACAAAGTGAGACCCTGTCTCAAGGGGGGGAAAAAAGAAGGAAGCAAAGAGCAAAGATACAAAGGTGGAAAAGTTCAGGAGTGCTATAGAAAGGGCCACGGAAGTGGAGAGGATTCATATATACAAAAACATAGAAAGAATGGCTAAGACCTAGTATTTGCTAGCACAACAGGGTGACTATAGTCAAAATAATTTAATTGTACATTTAAAAATAACTAAAAGTAAAATGGGATTGTTTGTAACACAAAGGATAAATGCTTGAGGTGATAGATACCCCATTTACCCTGTGAGATTATTACACATTGCATGCCTGTATCGAAATATTTCATGTAACTCATAAATATATACCCCTACTATGTACCCACAAAAATTAAAAATTAGTGCTATAGGCTAGCCAGGCGTGGTAGCATGTGCCTGTAGTCCCAGCTACTCAGGAGACTGAGGCAAGAGGATCCCTTGAACTTAGGAGTTTGAGGCTGCAGTGAGAGTTGTGATTGTGCACTGCACTCCTGCTTGTGTGACAGAGCAAGACTCCATCTCTAAAAATAAAAAAGAGTGCTATAGGCTGAATGTTGGTGTCCCCCCAAAATTCGTATTTTGGAACCTAATACCCAATGAGATAGTATTAAGAAATGGGGTCTTTTGGGAAGTGATTAAGTCATGAAGGTTTCATCCTCATGAATGGGATTAGTGTCGTTATAAAAGGAGGTGGAAGGAAACTGTCTTGCCCCTTTCACCATGTGAAGGTGCAGCAAGAAAGTGCCATCTTTGAAGCAGAGAGTAAGGCTTCTTCAGACACTGAATCCGCTGGCACGTTGACCTTGGACTCTATGGCCTCCAGAACTGTGAGCAATACATTTCTATTGTTTATAATACCCAGACTAAGGTATTTTGTTGCAGCAGCCAAAGAGACTAAGAGAGCTAGCCACAGCAGATGATATAGTTTGGCTCTATGTCCGCACCCATATCTCACCTTGAATTGTAGTTCCCATAATCCCATGTGTCATGGGAGGGATCCATTGGGAGGTAATCGAATCATGGAGGCAGTTACCTTCATGCTGTTCTTGTGACAGTGAGTGATTTCTCACGAGATCTGATGGTTTTATAAGGAGCTTTTCCCTGTTTTGCTTGGCACTTCTCCTTGCTGCTGCCACGTGAAGAAGGATTTGCTTCCCCTTCCTCCATGACTGTAAGTTTCCTGAGGCCTCCCCAGCCATGCTGAACTGTGAGTCAATTAAACCTCTTTCCTGGCCGGACGCGGTGGCTCACCGCCTGTAATCCCAGCACTTTGGGAGGCCGAGGCGGGCAGATCATGAGGTTAGGAGATCGAGACAATCCTGGCCAACATGGTGAAACCCCGTCTCTACTAAAAAATATATATAAAAAATTAGCCAGGCGTGGTGGCTTGCACCCGTAGTCCTGGCAACTTGGGAGGCTGAGGCAGGGGAATGGCTTGAACCTGGGAGGTGGAGGTGGCAGTGAGCCAAGATTGCGCCACTGCACTCCAGCTTGGCGACAGAGCAAGACTCCATCTAAAATAAAATGAAATTTTTTTAAAAACCTCTTTCCTTTATAAATTACTCAGTCACAGGTATGTCTTTATTAGCAGTGTGAGAACAGACTAATACAGCAGGAATGGCAATATGTGTAGGGAAATTCCTTTTACTGGGTGCCTACTGCATGCTGTGGGGCTGAGTATGATTGCTTAAAGGTGCTAAACTGGATGGCTGTAATCATAATTATTTTGGCCTCTTTTCATTTCACCTTAAATCATAAGCATTTTTCATGTTGTTCTATAGCTTTCATAAATACCTGTTTTTCCAGAGGTTAAATTTCATTTTATTCCTTTTAACACTTTGTTTTGTTTTCGTTAGCCTTTTACTCCTAAAACTTTTGTAAAATTATTTTTAACTTATAGCAATGCAAGAATATAAAATTTTAAAATTTATTATTGTTATTGTTATTTTTGAGACAGAGTCTCGCTCTGTCACCCAGGCTGGAGTGCAGTGGCACCATCTTGGCTCACTGCAACCTCCATCTCCCAGATTCATGTGACTCTCGTGCTTCAGCCTCCCGAGTAGCTGGGATTACAGGTATGCACCACCAGGCCTGGCTAATTTTTGTATTTTTAATAGAAACGGGGTTTCACTATGTTGGCCAGGCTAGTCTCGAACTCCTGGCTTCAAGTGATCCGTCTGTCTTGCCTCCCAAAGTGCTGGGATTATAGACATGAGCCACCGTGCCCGGCCTAAAAAAATTATTTTTATCAAAATGACTTTTATGTGTGTAAACGTTTAGTTGCCTGATGTTTTTAAACTTTTAAAATTAAACTTTTTCTGATTATAAAAGTATTAAAGGTCTTTTACAGAAAATCTAGAAAACATAGGAAAACATAAAGAAAAAATAATGATAACAATAATCTGTAACTCCATTATTTTAAGCTCACCAATTTAAATAACTTTTTGGCATATTTCCTTCCAGTCTTTTTTAAATGCCTTTTAACATGGTTGAGATCATATTTTGTCTATAATTTTTTACTTAATATTTTGCTGCATTTTCCCATATCTTAAGAATGTTTTATAAATACAGTTTTAGCATCTGCAAAATACTGCATTAAGAGAAGGTGCCAGAGTTTGCTTAACCAGTCCCTTATTGTTGGGCATTTAAGTTACTTCTAATTTTCTTCTATTATAAATAATGCTTTTTGCATAAATGCATAAAGCACTATAAGGTTATTTCCTCAGAGAAAATTCTCAGATGTGGGATTTCTATATCAAGTAGTGTGAAAATTTAAAAGGTTCCTGATATGCACTGCCAAATTGCTTTTTAAGAGGTTTGTACTAAATTCCACTTACCCTATTATGTGGGAGAGAAAACCAACTAAATGTCCTTAAGCTTTAAAAACGATAAGTTTCTCAGAATCTCTGGGCAAGGGCTATAGCATCCACACATGTATTTTCCTTTGAAAACTAAATATTGCCTGGTAGCATAAAGTCTCAGATTTTGTGGGGAGGGGTTCACACACTTTACTTCCCTTGACATCCCCAAGAACCCAAGAAACATACCTTTTAGTCAGCTAAGTACCTCCACCTTGCAAGCCAACAATATTTTAAAGAGAAATTTTCTTAAGGTTATACAACATCAACAAACTGTCTTGCTGGGTGTCTCTAAAGTTCCCCAGAGAATAAGATCACTCACAGCTTTGGAGGGAGGACTTCTAAGGGATCCCTGAAGGGATCGCCAGTTCTAGCAGATTTAGAGCTGCAGCTCAAAATTTTTCTTGTTTGTAGAGTCTTTGGTCTAGTTCCAGAGATCCCAGCCTTAGATCTCTCCCAACATTCCTCTGGGGCCCTCCAGACATCCACAATCTCAAGAGAAATTGCAAGCTTCTCACCACCTCTCTCGCCCATACATGCTCCGGCTCCCCCCACTTCATTCGCTCTCTCTCCTCTTCTTGTTCTCCCTAGCCTCTCTTCGTATCCTCTCCTCCCCCAACTGTCTCTCTCCTCTTGCTAAGTGTGCCCTCCTGAGTCTATCTTGTAAATTTCTTTCTAAGCTTTACTTTTAATATTCTTCCTTTCTCTCTCTCCCCTCTCTCTTGGCTGAGTGTTTGTGTAACTTTTTTCTAATCCCCCACCCCGACCCCGCCGGATTGTCTCAGACTTTTAGTCCTTTCCTCCTCTCTCAAGGGGACACAGCTGACCTTTCCTAGGAGTAGCCTCTTTTTTTGTCCCCAAACTTCTCACCCCTGGGCTCTTCTATTCTCTTCAAATGGCACACATGCCATCCCTGAATTTGCAGGAGTTTCTTTCTGCCTGTTTCACGCCAAATATAGCTTTTTTTTTTTCACACCATGTTACCAAGGAATAATCTTAGTAGACCACTGTTAATACTTCTAGACCCCACCATGACTTCCTTCTGGTATTTATCCTCATCATACACTCCACGAAAGGATCACTTATATTATGCCCATATTTTCCTCATTCTATCCAAATCAGGATACATAAGAGCAGAAGTCTAAGCCTACTTATAATTACAATAAGATAGGATATTTGAAATCTGGGCTGTCCTCGGAAATCTGGGACATAATGTTGCTATAAATGCCACCTATCCAGAATCCAGCTCTCAAGCAGTTTCATAAGCAAGCACTCTGAACATCCTCAGCATTGTCAGGAAGTTTGTATATTACACTCAGACTAAAAAAGGATTTCCTCTCATTTTGTCCATTCTGGGAATCAGAATTTTGACTGCACATCAGGTGGGGTCTGGCCATCCAGGTTGCTATCTAGAAATCACCACATAGGGGGATTCTTCACAAAAAGTTTTTGTGAGCTTTTTATGAAAAATCTTTCACTGAGGCCAGGCGCAGTGGCTCACACCTGTAATCCCAGCACTTTGGGAGGCCAAGGGGCGCAGATCATCTGAGGTCAAGAGTTCAAGACCAGCCTGGACAACATGGTGAAACCCCATCTCTACTAAAAATAGAAAAATTACACGGGTGTGGTGGCAGGCACCTGTAATCCCAGCTACTTGGGAGGCTGAGGCAGGAGAATCGCTTGAACCCAGGAGGCAGAGGTTGCAGTGAGCTGAGATCGCGCCATGGCACTCCAGCCTGGGTGACAGAGTGAGACTACATCTCAAAAAAAAAAAAAAGAAAATCTTTCACTGAGAAAGGTTGAACCCAAGTCTGAAATGAAAGCATACAGTTTACTACCCATTGATTGATTTATGCAGAAATCTGTATAAAGATCTCCAAAGGTGGCTTAGTAGGTTCTGTTTTAAACTTTCAGTTCCTCCTCCCTAGAAAGTTAGGGAAACCTCTTAACCAATACGAGTTCCTCTGATCTGAGCTGAACTTTCCTTCTTCCACTATCCAAATTCTGCTGATTCTTTTCTGTCCAGGATATTCATCTAAGTCACCATGGTTGTATATGCTCAAGGTTCACTTTAAGTACAGTCTTAATCTTGTTTCTGAGGAAGTTTGCTTTCTCCAGTAGGTCTGCAAAACTTCCGCTTCTTATTTCCTATTGCCCCTGAAATGACATTTCTCCTTGTGAATTAATATGGGCCTGCCTACCTCTAGGTAATCCTGTTTTTGTCATGTATCTGTATTGCATTTTCTGTCCACTTTTGTCCTCTCTTACAGTGAAGGGAGCATTTTAAACTTTTTTGTTTCCATAGAACAGTAACTTGCTGGTTGGAAGACCCGAGTTTAACATGGACCCTCGGAGAAACATGACCCCCGGAGAAACATGGAGAGCCTGAGACATCCTGTGTAATTCAATAAATATCCACCCACTCCCACCCCCACCTTTGCTGGCTACAGCAGCTGGGGAAGTCAGAGGGAAGGAGGTTTTTTATGTTTTGTTTTGTTTTGTTTTGTTTTGGAGACGGAGTTTTACTCTTGTCGCCCAGGCTGGAGTGCAATGGCATGATCTCAGCTCACTGCAACCTCAGCCTCCTGGGTTCAAGCAATTCTCCTGTTTCAGCCTCCTGAGTATCTGGGATTACAGGCACACACCAAATCGCCTGGCTAATTTTTTGCATTTTTAATAGAAACAGAGTTCCACCATGTTAGCCAGGCTGGTCTCGAACTCCTGACCTCAGGTGATCTGCCCGCCTCGGCCTCCCAAAGTGCTGGGATTACAGGCGTGAGCCACCGCGCCTGGCCGGAAGGAGTTATTTTTGAGCATTTTATGCTGCTCAGTCTTGTGCAGACCGCACATACTGTAGAGTTCATGCACTTTTCTCCCAGTAGTGACTTTCAGCTCTTGCTTTACATGTAGTTCCAACAAGCTTGGATATTTAGTTTCCATGTCTATAGCAGATCAAAATTAACAATTAATGGGTGGGGGTTGGGAGGCCAGAATAAGATAGTTAAAAGCACAGATTCTGGAGTCAAACTGAGTCTTTGAATCCTGTGCTGCTGCTTCCTAACTGTATGACTTTGAAGTATTTAACCTTTTAGCTTCAATTTCCTCATCTGTAAAATGGGAATAATAATAATAGCTATTTTGCACAGTTGGTCATAAAGATTAAATAAGTTAATATATATGAGGTGCCTGCATTTGTAAGTACTCTGTGAGTATAGAGAGGGCGCATTGGTAACAGTACTGATGAGATGTAGCAAAGAAGCAAACCAACCAAAAAAAGCGGAGAAAACAGAGCAATCTAGGATCCAACTGTGTAAGACAGAGGTTCCCAAACTTTCTCAGCTCAAAGGCACCTTTAGTGTCTCAGTAATTTTTTCATGGTGACTTCTCCATGCCCACTCCTCCTACAAAAAAACCAAAGTAATAATTCTCTTTATTAAGTAGTTAAGTCCAAACAACTTAATCAGTATTTACATCCTAATAATTTACTAACCATTTGAAATAATAATTACATAAGTTTTTATTCATTTCTTTCTTTTTTTTTTTTTTTTGAGATGGAGTCTTGCCCTGTCACCCAGACTGGGGTGCAGTGGCACCATCTCAGCTCACTGCAACCTCCGCCTCCGGGTTCAAGTGATTCTCTTGCCTCAGCCTCCTGAGTAGCTGGGATTACAGGCGTGTGCCACCACACCCAGCTAATTTTTGCATTTTTAGTAGAGATGGGGTTTTGTCATTTGGCCAGGCCGGTGTCGAACTCCTGACCTCAGGTGATCCACCCGCCTCGGCCTCCCAAAGTGCTGGGATTACAGCCACCATGCCCAGCATTTTTTTTTTTTTTTTTTTGAGATGGAGTCTTGCCCTGTCACCCAGGCTGTAGCGCAGTGGTGTAGTCTCGGCTCACTGCAACCTCCGCCTTTTTGTAGAGATGGAGTTTGCCATGTTGGCCAGGCTGGTCTCAAACTCCTGACCTCAAGTGATCTACCCACCTCGACCTCCCAAAGTGAGGCACTACACACTACAGGGTCTGAAAGCAGGGAACATAAGTCCGATTCATTCTGACTTCCTAGAACTAAGTCAAAGGGAAAACTCCAACTTACCACACCCAAGTAACAAAAGGACCAGAGGCTACTCCCTTTGCATCCCCCACTTTTCTGCCTGGCAGATGAAAAACTGAAAGTACCTGTGATTTGTCCTCTTCTGCAACCAATCAGGCTGGTCTCAGGCCAAGTTTTCATTTGCATAGGAGTATAAGTTTGTAACTTCACTTCAGCCTCTGATTGGTCACCTTCTGCAACCAATCAGATGTTTGCATGGGTTTAACTTTGTAACTTCACTTCCATCTCTGATTGGTTGCAGAAAGCAACCAATCAGATTGGTTTAACTTTGTAACGTCACTTCAGCCTCTGATTGGTTGCCTTCTGCAACCAATCAGATTAATCACAGGCCACTTCTTCATTTACATAGGGTGTACCTCAAGTAACCAATGGGAAGCCTCTAGAGGGTATTTAAATCCCAGAAAATTGGGTAACCAGTTTCCTGAACCCATATGCTTGGCCTGCTCCCACACTATGGAGTGTACTTTCGTTTTCAGTAAATCTCTGCTTTTCTTGCTTCATTCTTTCCTTGCTTTATTTGTGTGTTTTGTCCAATTTTTTCAAGAAGCCAAGAATCTGGGCACCTTCCACTGGTAACAGAATTGCTGGGATTACAGGCATGAGCCACTGTGCCCAGCCAGTTTTTATTCTTAAATATTCATAATTATGTGCTAAGGGATGTATGTGCCTGTTTAGCAATTCCCTTCTCAAACTTTGGGATCTCATCGTATGCTGCTACAGTCATTTATTGTTCCACAGTGATTTTCACTTGGTACTTGCTTTTTATTACAGCAACCTCTGAAAACTCAGCTTCAAAAAGACATGACATCATCCAGAGACATGTTTAAACCTTGAACTCAAGCTTGTGTGGTATCAGACATATATTGAATCTCCCTCTCCCCTCTCCCCTCTCCCTTCTCCCCTCTCCCTTCTCCCTCTCTCTTTAACATGGAGTCTCGCTGTCTCACCCAGGCTGGAGTGCAGTGGCGCGATTACAGCTCACTACAACCTCTACCTTCTAGGTTCAAACCATTCTCATGCCTTGGCCTCCCAAGTAGCTGGAGTTACAGGTGTGCGCCAACATGCCCAACTGATTTTTGTAGAGACGGGATTTTGCCTTGTTGTCTAGGCTGGTCTGGAACTCCTAGCCTCAAGTGATGCACCCTCCTGGGTCTCCCAAAGTGCTGGGATTACAGGCATGAGGCACTGCGCCCAGCTTGTATTTCTCCTAAAATGTCAAAATATCCTCTAGAGCCCTCAGTTAGCTAGGGCACCCCAGGGCTCCTCAAAAGACAATTTGGGAAACACACGTATAAAAGGGAAATCCCCTAACAAACCCTCAGGATATTAACACAGAACATCACAGAATCACAAATAGTGGTCATGATACTAACTTTCTCACCTGCATTAACCAGCCCCAGTTCCAGGCTGTCTTGGGGGAAGTAAAATGATAGGAGAAAATGGCCCTATTTGATGCTAAAATATTTGCAGAGAGCAGGCCTAAAAAGGACACCCCACAGGAGAAAAGTTCACGGGAAGAAAAGCAGAAGCCCTAGGCTGAACAGAAAGGAGAAAAAGGCGGCTGACCCTGCTCCTGAGGAGATGGATGAATGTGAGCAGGCACTGGCTGCTGAGCATCGGATAGCCAAGACCCCTTTGCTCACTTGCCCGAGTACCTTTGTGATGGATGAATTTAAGCACAAGTACTCCTATAAGGACACAATGTGGTGCTGCCGTATTTTCGGGAGCACTCTGATAAGGATGGTTGGTCTGAGTATTGCTTTCCTGAGAAGCTCACCCAGACCTTCTGGAGTTGCAATCTCATCGCTGGAATGTTCCAGCAGTTGAACAAACTGAGAAAGAATGCCTTTGCCAGTGCCATCCTCTTTGGAAGCAACAATATCAGCTCCATTTCTGGAGCCTGGGTCTTCACAGGCCTTGACACTGAGTCCAGATTGGCAGGTGGTCTTCGAGTCATACACGTGGCAGAAACTGGATCCTGGCAGCAAGGAGACCCAGACACTGGTTTGTGAGTACTGTTCCTGGAAAAGGGCCTTCCAGCATGTGGGCTAACTTCAGTCAGGGCAAGATCTTCAAGTAAACAGCTCTTGCCATTGCCTTGCTTCCTGTACCTGTTCTTTAAGGAGATGGGGATCATTAAAAGAAACTGAATATTGAAAAAAAAAAAGTTTAATTTAAGGTCAGTTTTTTCCATTTATGACGACTGAGAAATACCAAGTGCCTACTTAACAAGATTGCCATCCAACATTATTAAAATTTAAAATAAAAATATTGGGCCGGGAGTGGTGGCTCACACCTGTAATCCCAGCACTTTGGAAGGCCAAGGAGGAAGGATTGCTTGAGGCCAGGAGTTCAACACAAGCCTAGGCAGCAAAACAAGATTCTGTCTCTACAAAAAAATATTAAAAATTAGCTGGGCATGGTGATGCATGCCTATAGTCGTAGCTACTCGGGAGGATGAGATAGGAGGCTCGCTTGAGCCCAGGAGTTTGAGGCTGCAGTGAGCTATGACTGCGCCACTGCACTCCAGCCTGGGAAATAGCGTAAGACCCTCACTCTAAAAAATAAAGGAATAAATAAAAGTATTGTACTTTTAGCTACACTAAAAACTTCACAAGGTCATTGTCAGGCCCCATCCTTTCCTCAAAGAACACAGACCTTAGAGTCACATAGATTTGGATTCAAATTTAGACCCACTGCTTTCCACGATCTTGAGCAAGTCTCTCAATCTTTCAGATCACCTTCTCATAAAAAATGTAGACCATAATTCTCACCTCTTAAGTTCTTATGGAAAGTGAAAGAACATATAAAAAGTGCCTAGCACAGACCCTGGCACATAACAGGTGCTCAAGACCCCCTTGCCATTTCCTAAACATGCCTTAGACTTGCATCCTACTAAACCTTTGCAACATGGTGCTTCCTTGGCCTGATAAACCATACTGCTTTTGTCTGCTGCCAAACTCTGTTCATTCTGCGTCACCCAACTTAAATACATTCTTCTCTCTGAAGCTTCCCTTGGCTTCTTTGGAGAGAATGAGTCACTCTGTCTTGTTCAGTTCTGCAGGATTTACCACTATCGCCTCACTTGATCACATTGTGTTGTAATTGCTTATTTATGAATCTTCTCCCTCACCAGATTTTATGGTCCTCCTCCATGGCTGAAGCCACATATTTTCACAGCACCTAGCATGGTACTTGGCCCTCAATAAATGTTTCAATGAATGGAGGAATAATAATAGCAAACAGTCAGTGCTTAATTCTAGGCATTATTCCAAGTGCTTTACAAATATTATTAACTTGTTTAATCTTCATGACAATTCTATGAATTATTATCATTTCTCTCTTACAGATGAGGAAAATGGCACATAGAAAAGTTATGTAATTTGTCTAAGGTCACTCAGCTATTAACTGTCAAAGCCAGGATTCAAACCCAAGCAGTTGGTGTGAGTCCAGACTTTTAGCCAACACACTACAATGCCTCCCAGTGAACAAAGGAATGAACAATCACAAACAAATTTGCTTTTCCCAAATGTCTTTCTTTCTCAGGTTTTGGAATGGCTCATCCATTCATTTAACAAACACTTTACATAGAGTTTTCTATGTGTATAATTATCACACTAAACACCAATCTCTGTTTTCCTCACCCCGGCCACACCCCACTTCACACAATCTTCACTGCTTGCCCCTAACCTCGACTGCTCTGTGAATTTCTTTGTTTTGTTTTGCTGGAGACAGGGTCTCACCCTGTCACTCAGGTTGGAGAGTAGTGGCATGATCATAGTTCACTGTAGCCTGGAACTCCTGGGCTCAAATGAGCCTCCTGCCTCAGCCTCCAGCCTCCAGCCTGAGTACGTAGGACTTCAGGTGCCCATCATCACACCTGGCTAATTTTTAATATGTTTTTGGAGAGATAAAATCTAGCTATGTTGCCCAGGCTGGTCTCAAACTCCTGGACTCAAGCAATCCTCCCACTTCAGCCTCCCAAAGTGTTGGGATTATAGGCATGAGCCACCGTGCCCAGTCCTCTTTCAGTTTCTGGAATGTGTTGTGCTCTCTCCCACCTCTGACCCATGACTGCCACATTGACTAACTAACTTGTACTTTTTCTTCAATTCTCAGCTTAAATTGCTTCCTTCTGAAAGACTTCCATTTGCCCCCTAAAGAAAGTTAGGTACACCTGCTCTGGGCTTCCCATGGCACTTGACACTTTCCTCATCATAACATTTTTCATACATACTCTTCTTGCCCATTTGCTTGTCAACCTTCTGCACTAGACTATAAGCTCTACAAGAGCAAGAACTGAGTCTATCCAGGTCGTCACTGAATCTGCAGCACCTAGCCTGATGTCTGGCATATAGTAGGTACCTGACACATATTTATCGAATGACAGATTGAAGCATGAGCAAGACAAAATCTCTATGCTTAAGTCTAGTGGGAGGCCAGGCACTATTCATTCCTATAATCCCAGTGCTTTGGGAGGCCCAGGCAAGAGGATCACTTGAGGCCAAAGGTTCAAGACCAGCCTGGGCAACATAGCAAGACCCCATCTCTACAAAAATAAATAAATTAGCTGGCATGGTGGTGTGTGGTTGTAGTCTTAGCTATTCAGGGGGCTGAGGTGGGAGGATCTCTTGAGCCCATGAGTAATTACAGTAAGCTATGATTGTGCCCCTGCACCCCAGTCTGGGCAATAGAGCAAGACCCTTTTTCTTAAAAAATAAAAAAATACAGAACTCTATTGGGGGAAATAAAAGCCTAGAGGGGATACAGGAAAATAAACACTTGTAGTATATTGTGATAAGTGCTATAATAGAGATCCCAGGGTCCTTCAGGGACATAGAGGGAAAGATTTCTAACTCTACTTGAGGTAAAGTGGAAGGGGGAAAGCTCACCAGAGTCTTAAAGGATAAGTGAGAGTTGAAAAGAAAGAAGTAGTATTAGCCAGGCGCAGTGGCTTATGCCTATAATCCCAACACTTTGGGAGGCCGAGGTGGACGGATCACTGAAGTCAGGAGTTCGAGACCAGCCTGGCCAACGTGGTAAAATCCCATCTCTATGAAAAATACAAAAATTAGCCGGGCGTGGTGGCACATGCCTGTAGTCCCAGCTACTCAGGAGGCTGAGGCACGAGAATTGCTTGAAGCTGGGAGGCAGAGGTTGTAGTGAGCCGAGATCACACCACTACACTCCAACCTGGACCACAGAGTGAGACTCCATCTCAAAAAAAAAAAAAAAAAGAAAAAGAAAGATGTAGTATAGAGGCAAAAAGCAAGAGCAAGAACTGTAATAGAAATTGCTTTTTAGCCTAAATGGCTAAATCATTTTTCTGTGTGTCTAAAAGTAACATTAATCTAAACTTAGTCTTACAATTGGCTTGTTTAGTAAGAATTTGGAAGCAATGTGAAATAACTTAAAAGGCAATTGATGGAATAATGTTATTTCTTAATTATCACTCCTATAAATTCCCATGAAAATCAGTTCTTTATTATCATATTTATCATGCTGCACTACCATTGTCAAAATGTGTCTATCCTACCTGATTGTGAGCTATTTAAGGCCTTGGATTAAAGAGCATTAAGATCTGATTCGATTCTATGTATTCCTCATACTGAGAACAAAGCCAGGCCCAGAGGATCTGTGAATACTCCAGCATGACCACAAAGTCCTAAATGAACTGACCTCCAACAAGCTCTGTTTCTTCTTGCGTCCCATACTCTGTGCTTCAGTCAATATTAAACACCCTTCAGTTCCCTGGACAAAATTTGGCTGCTTAAAGCCTCTAGGCCTTCACACATGCCGACTTCCATTGTCTTCCCACCCATTTCCCAGCGCTTATCTAACTAACTTCTACTCAGCTTTCAGCTTAAACATTACTTCTGAAGGAAGCTTTCTTTGACCTGAAGACACAATTAGACCTTCCTATTATATGGCCTTTAATGCCTTATATTTTTCTTTGGTGTCATTTATCATACTTGTAAATACTTACTCATTCTCTGTCCTTTAGATAGTAAGTTTCATAATTCAGCACTTGGACTAGAGCATATAAGACAGATGCTCAATAAAAATTATTTTGAATAAGTTACTGAAAAAATGAATAAAGTGCTACTATGTGTTTTTAAGTATGATTTTAGTGGCTCGGTTTTCAGCAATCTCTGTGTGGTATCGTGGTAGATTGGAATTAATTAAAATCATTAAATCAAACTAGGGCCAGGTGCAGTGGCTTATGCCTGTAATCCCAGCCCTTTGGGAGGCCAAGGTGGGCAGATCACTTGAGGTCAGGAGTTTGACACCAGCCTGGCCAACATGGTGAAACCCCATCTCTACTAAAAATACAAAAAAAAAAAAAAAAAATTAGCTGGGCATAGTGGTACACACCTGTAGTCTCAGCTGAACCTGGGAGGCGAAGGTTGCAGTGAGCCAAGATCATGCTACTGCACTCTAGCCTGGATGACGGAGTGAGACTGTCTCAAAAAAAAAAAAAAAAATAGACTAATCAAATCAGTGAATCACCATGTAGTGATTTAGTACTAGAAGCACTTCCCATCCACCATTAAGAATCAAGGTTGTGGTCGGGTGTGGTGGCTCACACCTGGAATCCCAGCACTTTGGGAGACCAAGGTGGAGGATAGCTTGAGCCCAGGAGTTTGAGATCAGCCTGGGCAACATAGCAGGACCCTGTCTCCATTAAAAAAAAAAAAAAAAAAAAAAAAAAAAAAAAATCAGGGTTGTTGCTCTGCAGAGCAAGTAGTTGAGGCAACAATGCCTTATCCAGGAAGATTTAGGTGGCCCTCTGTTCATACCACTTTCTTCCCTCTACTCTTTTTTTTTTTTTTTTGGCGGGGGGGACGAAGTCTCGTTCTGCTGCCCAGGCTGGAGAGCAGTGGACGATCTCGCCTCACTGCAACCTCTGTCTCCTGGGTTCAAGCGATTCTCCTGCCTCACCTCCCGAGTAGCTGAGATTACAGGCGCCTGCCACCACGCCCGGCTATTTTGCATTTTTAGTAGAGACGAGGTTTTGCCATGTTGGCCAGGCTGGTCTCAAACTCCTGACCTCAGGTGATCCTCCTGCCTCCCAAAATGCTGGGATTACAGGTGTGAGCCACAGCACCCTGCCTTCCCTCTGTTCTTTCTGGTGATCCTCTCCTTGCTATCAAAATTCCTTCCTAGGCTTACATTTGTTTTTTAGAGATGAGGTTTCACTATGTTGTCCGAGCTGGACTCAATCTCCTGGGCTCAAGCTATGCTCCCACCTCAGCCTCCTGAGTAGCTGGGATTACAGGCATGAGCCACCACACTTGGCTCTACTTTACTTATACCAGCTTTCAACTCATCTCTAGCTCCAGGTCCTCTTCCTGGATCTTCAAAGGCTTGCCCCATCCAGCCAGCAGCAGGAGCCACCTTTTCTCCACAGCCTTGCCGGGGCAGCAGAATATTATTGCTTCTGGCCCCAGACTATCTTACCCAACACCTCTTCAGATCCTACCAACCTTCCTTACTAGTGAGCTCTGGCATAAGGCAAGAGTTGGGTGTGTGGAGGAGCCAAAGAAAGAACAGTTCCTACCCTCAAGCAGCTCCCAGTCTGTTGAAGACACAAAGGGCATTTCCTCTTTCATAAAGAAGTTTAGAAAAGTCATCATCCTTGAGTCTTCCTTTTCACTTACCACACATCCAATCCCTCTCCAATTCTTGTTCTATTTCTTTTTAGCACTTGTATCTGTCCCTTTCTGTCTATGCCCACCACCACTGTCCTGAGTTAGACCTCATAAACTTTATTCTGGACTATTGCAACAGCCTCCCTAAATTATCTCCTTGTTTCTATTTTCAAATGCCATTCAATCCATTCTCCACAGTAACCAGAGTGATTTTCTCAAAACACGACTCTGACCACATCCCTCCTCTGCTGAAAACCTCTGATAGCATCTGTTACTCTTAGAACAAAGTGCAGGCATTCAAGGTCCTTTACAATCTGCTGACCAACTCACCTTTCTCAAGTTTGGCTCGGGTTTTGGCAGTTGTTCAATGGGAAGTCTATGCAAAGGAATAGGGTAAGGCCTTATCACAAATGTTCATTTTGGCATTGAGCTATATATTCAATTTTTAAAGGAAATATTGCAGGTATACACAAAATTATACAAAACAATACAGTGAATACTGTATTCCCATCACCCACCTTAAGAAATGAAACATTACCAATAAAATGGAAGCCCCTGTGTACTCCTCCCCAGTTGTCTAATCCTCTCTTCCCAAGCATCCAGAGGTATCCACTGTCTTGAATTTGTTTTTCATTCCTATGTGTGTTTCTAGACTTACAATATGTATTTGTACCCCTGAAAAATGTATAGTGTTATTTTGTATTTTTAAACTCTTTAATTTAAAATAATTTTTTAAAAAGAGTTGCAAAACCAGTACAGATAGCTCTATATATCCTTTACCCATTTTTTTTTTTTTTTTTTGAGACAGGATCTTACACTGTTGTCCAGGCTGGAGTGTAGTGGCGGGATCTTGGCTCATTGCAGCCTCAACTTCCTGGGCTCAGGTGATTCTCCCACCTCAGCCTCCCAAGTAGCTGGGACTACAGGTACACGCCACCACATCTGGCTAATTTTTGTATTTTGTAGAAGCAGGGTCTAGTCTTGAATTCCTGGGTTCAAGAGATCTGCCCATCTCGGCCTCCCAAAGTGCTGGAATTACAGATGTAAGCCACCATGCCCAGCCCCAGTTTTTTAATGCTAATATATTGCACAATCATGGTATAATTATCAAAATTTAGAAATTAACATTAACACAATATTATTAATTAAACTAAAATCTTTATTGAGATTTCACCAGTTTCTCCACAATGTCCTTTTTCTAATCTTGGATCCAGTCTGGGGTCTCACATTGCATTTGTTTGTTTGTTTTTTGTTTTCGTTTTTTTGGGACAGGGTCTAGCTCTGTTGCTGGAGTGCAGTGGTGCAATCATGGCTCACTGCAGTCTTGACCTCCCTGGCTCAAGTGAGCCTCTCGCCTCAGCCCCCCAAATAGCTGGGTGCACCCCCATGTCTGGCTAATTTTTGTATTTTTTGTAGAGACCGGGTTTCTCCACTTTGCCCAGGCTGGTCTCAAACTCCTGAGCTCAAGGCACGCACTACCTCAGCTTCCCAAAGTGCTGGGATTACAGGCATGAGCCACTGTGGCCAGCCTCACCTTGCATTTTGTTGTCAGTCTCCTTAGTCTCCTCCAATCTGTGATGGTTCCTCCAGTCTTTTCTATTGTAATTTTGGCGCATTTGAAGAGTACTGGTTAGATATTTTTAGAATGTTCCACAGTTTGGGTTTGCTGGCCAGCAATTGTCTTAAGAGTAGCCTTTTGTTTGATTCATCCTCTGCATTATTCCTAAGAGCCATAGAGCTACCAATTGTAAAGATTATTGTTAGTCACTCATAGTTATTTGTAGGTGGTAGGCAGTTTTCTAAGGAGAAAGGAAACTTGGTTGCCCAGCTCTCACTCTAGGGACATTATAACTGTCACATTCATATGGTGACCCTCTCTTGTGGAGAACACAGTAGGAGAGTTCTGTTGAATAGCCAACCACCCTATTCCTTTACTCACAGTTCTTTGTGAATAATACTTGCATGTTGTATAACTGCGTCAATATGGAGTTAACAAAAGAAGGGGGTATCTGTCTGCTTTTATGCTTTCCCCACAACCCCACTGGAAGTGACCAGAGGCTCCCACTGAAAAGATCAATGACCCACTGGCATCAGTTGATAGTGGCAAGGCAGTGGCAAGCTAATGGGCTTACCCTGGCTCTAGATCTATGTTTTTAGTCCCATTATCATACTACACTGCTGAGGGAAAAGTATAGATGGGGAATTAGAAAGTTTGAATTCCAGTCCTTGCTGCGCCACCAACATTGTGTGACCTTGAACAAGTCTGAACATCCAGTTGCCAGTGCGTACAATAATAGCATTGGTTTAGAAGGGCTTGGAGATAGACTTCCACTCTAAACTTCCGGGAAACATCAGACTTTAACCAACTGCACCAATCACAGAAACATAACAAGGCACTATTATCATAAATTCACTTCTGGGATGGAAAAGAACCTTGAGTTGAATTGAAGGTAGTTATTGTAGTCCATCTTCCCTCAAGAGCTTGAAGTCCTGCTGCAGCCTTCATAAACAGTTCTTCAAACTCAGTTTTTATGCAACTTTTTGCTCACAGCCCATATAAAATTCAAACTTCCTGCTCTGCTTGCTCATTCATAAATCCAGTCAGGGAAGTATAGACCGACAACACTGACAAGACTCATTATCCCCCTCCTCATACAGTTGAGAAACAGGAGGTCCGGAGAGTGAGGCTTTTCCTCAGGTTACTCAGCAAATTTTAGACAAATAATAAATTATCCAGCAATACCATCAAAAGACAGATTAATCCTGGTTATTATTGAATTTCAAATATAAAGAATTATTTCTTCAAACAGAAAAAGCAAGTTACATATCAGAAGGCAAAACAGCGACATTGTAAGCTCTGGGTTTTTTTAGAGATGGGATCTCACTATGTTGCCCAGGCTGAAGTGCTGTGGTTATTCATAGGCACGATCATAGTGCACTACAACCTCAAACTCCTGAGCTCAAGTGATCCACCTTCCTCAGTCTTTGAGTAGCTGGGACTATAACGTGTACCATTGTATCCATCTCAGACTGTAAACTGTAAGAGCAGAAGCCATGACTTTGCCGTCTTTTTCTCGTCTTCTACCTCTGCCTAGCACAGGGCTAGGAAGTTCTAGAAACTTCCTCTTTTTATTTATTTATTTTTTTGAGATGGAGTCTCGCTCTGTCACCCAGGCTGTAGTGCAATGGCATATTCTAAGCTCACTGCAACCTCTGCCTCCCGGGTTCAAGTGATTCTCCCGTCTCAGCCTCCCGAGTGTCTGGGACTACAGGCACGTGCCACCACACCCAGCTACTTTTTGTATTTTTAGTAGAGATGGGGGTTCACTATGTTGGCCAGGCTGGTCTTGAAATCCTGACCTTGTGATATGCCCACCTCGGCCTCCCAAAGTGCTGGGATTATAGGCGTGAGCCACTGTGCCCAGCCAAGCCTTTTTTTTTTTTTTTTTTTTTTTTGAGACGGAGTTTCACTTTGTCACCCAGGCTAGAGTGCAGTGGTGTGATCTTGGCTCACTGCAACCTCTGCCTCCCAGGTTCAAGCGATTCTCCTACCTCAGCCTCCCGAGTAGCTGGGATTACAGGTGCACGCCACCATGTCCAGCTAATTTTTGTTTTTTTAGTAGAGACGGGGTTTCACTATATTGGCCAGGCTGATCTTGAACTCCTGACCTCAAGCGATCCACCCACCTTGGGCTCCCAAAGTGCTGGGATTACAGGTGTGAGCCACCGCGCCCCCCACAAGAAACTTCCTAAAGTGACTGGTAATATTAAGGAAAGAAGGAATATATTCAGTGCATATGGGAATATGTCTCTGTATTGTAGAAACTTGTGCTCAGTCTCCATCCTCATATCAGGAGGCTGGGGTACCTGGCCAATGATGTTTCCAATTCTGGGTTGGATGCCAGGTGCCAAACAAAGGGCCTCATATTGAAGACTTTGAGAATAGGTACCCGGGATGGGAGGTGGAAGGGTGTAATTCTTTTTTATTTTCTTTTTTATTTTTTTGAAATAAGATCTTGCTCTGTCTCCCAGGCTGTAGCGCAGTGGCATGATCATGGCTCACTGAAGCCTCAACCTGCCAGGCTCAAGTGATCCTCCACCTCAGCCTTCTGAGAAGCTGGGACCACAGGCGGGCACCACCACACCTGGCTAATTTTTTAAGGGAGAGTGTAATTCTTAGTTGGCTAACACTCCTTTGTCCTTTGGGTCTCAGATGTCATCTTTGCAGAATATCTTCCCTGATGTCTCCTGATTTCCTATAAAAATCAGTTCCTCTCTTTTGTAATCCCAGAGTCCCCTCTGCTTTCTTCTATCCTGGCCATTATCACAGTGCATTCAAATTGCCCATTTACTCACTTGTCTCCTACCAAACCAGACCTGGAATTCTCAAAGGCAGATGCTGTGTGTTGGTCACCTTTGTATTCTCAAGGCACAATATTACAAGTTCAATAACTATCTGTTGAGTGTAGAGGACAGTTGCAATTCTGAGTGCCCCACATCTGAACCTCTTTTCTATGTTGGGAGACTCCTTATGGGTTTTGGTGAAAGATAGAAAGCTAATATAGAAGCAGAAAGCGCAAGATGCTCGTTTTCCTAGCCTCCCTTGCAGATAAGCATGTACCCACCAATTAGTTGTATCCAACCAAAACTTCGAATTAGAAACTGGTGACCATCGAGAATCCATTATTATGGCAGTGGGAGCAACAGCAGGCATACGTGGTTTCCAGGGAGCAGTGGCAACATAC